>NC_000002.12:19024906-19176422 GCF_000001405.40 Homo sapiens
GAAAACAGTATCTGTTTATGACAGGTGTGCTCTGAGTGGGCAAAGCTGTTATTTCACAGGTTCAGTTGTGAAGAAATGATCTGTGATGAGAACGGTTTGGGAAAGCTAAGGTGAAAGAATGATTTTTGACATCCGGAGATCCCTATTTCGTTGTCATGAGTGAGTCACACTCACAGTAGACCACAGCAAAGCCAATCTCCTCAGACCCCATGGCCCCTTATTAGGAATATCTGCCGGCTTGAAGGAGAAAGATGTCTTTTGATTTTAGCATGCAAAGACACAGTAGCAAGGACAACTTTAACAATATCATTTCTCTAGTTATGTATTTGAAAAATAAATCTTCTCTCTAAGGAAAAATATACATTCTATTCTTGGAAACTCTGCCTTCTTTTTTTGTATGAAATGCCAGGTGACATTCAAGTATGGTCCCACCCTACTCTTTTTTGTTTGTTTGTTTGTTTTGTTTTTGAGACTGAGTCTCACTCACTCTGTCGCCCAGGCTGGAGTGCAGTGGCACAATCTTGGCTCACTGCAAGCTCTGCCTCCTGGGTTCATGCCATTCTTCTGCCTCAGTCTCCTAAGTAGCTGGGACTACAGGTGCCTGCCACCATGCCCAGCTAATTTTTTCTATTTTTAGTAGAGACGGGGTTTCACTGTGTTAGCCAGGTTGGTCTTGATCTCCTGACCTCCTGATCCGCCTGCCTCGGCCTCCCAAAGTTCTGGAATTACAGGTGTGAGCCACCGCTCCCGGCCGGTCCCACCCTACTCTTAATTGGCCTTCCTGAGCTGCAGTTTCTTAAACTGTGAAATCTAGCTTCTCTACTGTGGATGATTTTGCTTACCAGATGTGTATATGTTCCTTTATATTTCCCTGCCTTTCAATTACGTCAGGTTATATGATATTTTAACCAATGAACTGTGAACAGAAGTGTCAAGATAGGTATCATTCAGAGCGTCCCCGTCTTTCTCTTCCCATAAAGAACATGTGTTTGAGACAGTATAGTTACAAGGTGAAGGAGGATTTTACATATGCAGGAAATACATCTTTACTTTGTTAAGCCCCTGAGATTGGGGAATTTGTCTGTTGCAGCGTCTAGGATTAATAATCATACTAACATACTGAGAGTGTGAAGTTCTTAGTAGGATTAAACAGGTTATTTCCATACAAGCATGAGCACAGTGTCTGAGAGAAACAGGCATCAGTCACTGTGAAGTAAGATTGTCATTAAGATGGATAAATAATTTTACAAAATTGAATAGTTATATTGAAAGAAAAAATGTCTGGAGAACAGAAAATCTTGGTTCTAGAGTTGTACAATTTTAGACTTGGACTTAGAAGCTATTTAATCTAGTATTTTCCAAACGATCTGGTTATAAACAACAGGTTCTTAAGCAGAAAATACAGATTTCTGGGCCCATCTCCACTTACAATGAATCACAATCTCTAGGGAAGAAGTGTTGATTTGAATTGTTTTGTTGGTTTCCAAATGGAAGGAAAGTGAGGCCGGGGAAGTTGATGACTTTTCTAGGGCCACAGAACTGATTATTGACATGTTGGAACTAGAACCCAGCTTCCACAGAGCTGCATGCTTTCCTTCTGGGATCACATAATAATGTCCTAATAGAGTGAGACCAGGACTGACCCTTTGTCCCTCTATCTCTGATAAATCATGTCAAGACCTGCAAATGATTTTACCCCTTAACAATGAAAAGAAGATGTAATTTTAAAATTACCTTGGATGTACAGTGAAAGCAGCATTCCCATAATCAATCATCCAAAATCACGGGGTTATTTGGAGCTATTTGAAGGAAAGTAAATTGAAAACATGTTGTTAAACAATGCACTAAAGAGTTATCAAATCATAAACATCTAGATTACTTTAACATGTTGATTATTCCACATTTAGGGTCTCCTTACAAAGCAACTCTGGCCATGAAGAGACCTGGAAAATTCAATGAATCCCTTTCTAAGTTGTTAACTGTACTGAGTTGAATCATTTGGCTATGTGGGAACATATGTTAAAGTAAAAAAAAAAAAAAAAGCTATATATTACATATATATTCTTTTTGGAGCTATTATTCACACTTTTCACTAAGCAGAAGACACAGAGGCCTGCTATTAGGACATGTCTCTGAGGATACAGAAATAGTTTGGGGAGTACAGTGGTATAATATTGAACACATTAAAACCTATCTGGAGCTTTGGAAATCAAATATGCAGACATTCCATAATGACTCTTGGGTTTTAGCATAATTCCTGAACCTGAAAATTCATAACTAAATAATGGCAGGACATTTATGACATAAAATGCCTTAAACCATTTGTTTATTATTATATGTGGATTTTGAGTTTTATGTTTAAGAAAATTGAAAGCCTACCCTTTCTTTTTTTTCCCACTTTGGAAGAGTGATATACCAATTACCTTTGAGAGACTTTGTTTTTCTTCCTGGAAGAGAGCTAAACCAGGACTGAAGTTTATGTCAAGGAATCCATTTGGTTATCAAATCTGTGATCATGCGCTCTTATTAAACTAAACCAAATTAAGTTAATATTTGTTGAAAAATAAATGATGTAATTCGTGAAGAACTCTGTTTTACTCCCAGGATGGTGGCCTGTTTCTTCAAAGTAGCCTGTGAGAAAACAAAGTCTGAAATAGTTCTTTAAACTGAAAAGAGGAAATTGTTTTGAGTGTGACAGGTGTCTAGAGGGATCACTACCCTTGAGTGATCTTTGATCTCGGGGTTATCGTTATAAGACTAAATTATATATGCAATTTTCCTGAGACCAAATTCAATGACTGAACTCTAAAATTAATCTGGATATTATTTCTTCTTGGAGTTCTAAAACAAGGCCAGGGAAGATTAGAAGCCACTCATCTGACTGAGACGCATCCTCTGACTTTTCTTGGAATGGATTCCTTATGTGGACAAAATGTGATTTGAATTGCATCTGGTTACTGTTTTTAGAAAATGTTGTTGAAATTCAAACTGAGCCTGTGTACCGTGAGCTGATTTATCAGTGCCTGCCCATGTGAGAACCAGAAAGGAACTAGGAGGTGTAACTGTGGGGAGGTCGCTCTGGGGTCTTTCATCCAGGTTACCTATTAAAGGGGCAGGTCTCCAGGCCAGAAGGAGCAAATGCAGTACACTCCTAGAGGGAAAAGCCTTCTCTTGAGGCTCTGAGAACTGCTAGAGAAGAAACAACAGCAGCATGGTGGAACGAAGACAGAATTTGAAATCAAACACAGCTAAATCTTAAGCCTAACTCCACCATGTATGAGATACATGACTTTTAAAATTAAGTTTTGTAACCTCTCTGAGCCTCAGTTTTCCTACTGGCAAAATAGGAGTAATATTGCCTGCTTTGTTGCGATGTGAGAATTAACAGGGGATTTTATGCATAGTATCTGACATCTGGTAGGTCCTCAAAAATTAAAAAAAAAAATAGTACATCTGCAATCACCTTATCAGCAAATAACATATATTGAATATTTATTATGGGTCAAGCACTATACTCCTTTACCTCCTGTTGATATCTACCTGGACACCTAGCATTAGTGGATACTCAAAAATAAGTCATAAACTGACAAAATGATGGATGAGTCTCCTTTTCCTATTGACTTTCTTTGGCTATGAAAGCACAAATAGGCAAGACCAGAGGGGAAACGTCCACGTGTTCTGTTGTGGATCCCTCAGTGCACGCAAAGCTGTGGGTTTCCAGAGGAACGGTCCCCTCATCACTTCAGTTTCCTGCTCTTGGGTGGATTGCAATGCCCCGCTACTGGGGTAGTAGCCTTCATTTTGTGTACTGTGGTCTTGCTTCTTCTGAATCCAGAGGGTAAAAACTCAAACACCATCTAAAAATGTCAAGTTCTATTTTGCTTCAAGAGCTCCTGAGGGCTGGGCAGAGGTTTTGCAGTTTCACCACAGGCATTTACAAGGGCCGCACACTTTGGCAGAACTAAGTCTCCAGATAGCCTAACCTCTCCAGACCTAGAATGCAGCTGAATTTTAGGGGTCGTGAAAGGGGGGAGTTTCTGGGGGGTCCTGGAAAAGACTAAGTCAACCTTGGTTCATCATCATGCTATGCTCAACGCCCGCCCCCCGCCCCCGCCCCTCCACAGTCAGGGCTTGCTTGGTTTCTGGTTTCAAAATGAAATTTTCACATGGCCCAAATCCCAACCCACCCTAATTTAAAGAAACAGGCACTTGGCATGTGATACAGATAGATCAGCAGTTGCTCATATACAGCTGTGCACATCTGGCACACAGGTATGTGATTTTGCATGAAGATAAATTGTGTGGGGACCAAACGCACAGTTGTTAAACTAAAAATGAATCGCTTCTTGGAAGCAATCTTCCTGCACAGCAGGGCCTCTGTGTGAGCTTGATCCTTTTCATTAGGCCTTTCTCAGAAAGCGCAGTCTTCTCCAGAAGGCCTAGGATGGAGGAGGGGGCATGCCCACACCTGCAGTCGGCTCTTTGCTGCTCCCCTCAAACAACACTTGCACATAACCTCTGACTGCCATGATTGGACAGCCTTCCCAAGGGAGGTACTCAGAGCCCAGGAGAAAGGAAGAGGCCAGGTTCTTCGTTGTACTGCCTCACTTTCCATAAATAATGCTGCATTCAGGATCCTATGCTTCAGGGAGAGTTCTTTTGTATACCATTGCTGAAGGATCCAGGTGTATTACCAAACTTGGTGGACCAAGAAGTCTTCCTCCCTTGGGGGCCTCCTGGAGTCAGTGGTGTCTATCCCTGTGTGCACATCTTGCCTGTAATTCACGTACTTGTAACTCATGGGAGCACCGCATGCTCAAATGCTGTTCAGATTAGCTGGCTCCACTTGAAGATGCTTTGCTGGCACTTTGGAGGAAACAGAAAGAATGAATTCTGCTCTAGGCAATCTCTTGGATTCCATGAAGCACCATGCTGAATCAATGGGATCAATGACTAAGGCTGATACAGAATGTTCCATTCCAGGCTTAGTTTCACAATTTCAATAATAGGAAGTTGCTAGGTGTTACTAGGGGTTGGCACAAATGAATCAGTGACTTTGAAGGAGATTTTTCCCATCTGTCTTTTCGTGTGGTAATAATGTAAGCAAGGGTCTAGCAAATTTGCTTTTATTCTTATTTATCTCCCTATCCCGCTCTGCCCTTAATTCTTTCCTCCTTATCTATTTATTGATTTCTCAAAACAAACAATAAATCCAATAGGCGAAAGGAAAATTGCAATGGCTTCAGAGGGAAATATAAACTACACCTTATCCCACTTGAGTTAGAGTAATAGATTAACTATATTATGTATTCTGCAGTATTGCATATGCTGTGTCTTTTGTCTGTTTATTTTTTACCCTTTCCTAGATTGGTGAACCCTAGATTATTCCTTATAGCTCAACTCAGTTCTCACCTCTTTTATGGCTCCTTCTCACATGGGAGATGATTTTATTCTCTATGCTACTATTATACTGCATGCATACCTGTCTGCTAGCAGCACGCCATTTTGTGATTGCCTGTTGCCATGTCTGCTTTCCCACCATAACGTGGGCCTCTCCACAGCAGGGATTATCTATTTCTTTCTATTTCCAACACTAAGCCCTATTTTAATAAATATATATCTGGCAAATGAATACCAATGCTGTTCTTTCTTTTCCTGAATAACTTTCTTAGAACACCAGGTATTCCTTCTTTGTGAACTCCATGATAACCCAGGATGAGAATATAAAGGTCCTCCATAAAGTTGGTCGGGACCTGACCCAGACAGCAAACAAAAAACAGCCCTATTCCGAGGTAGCCTGCAACTGCCAGAATTACCTAGGATCTGCCTCAGGGGGTCCTGGCAAGGGATAAAATAAGAAGAAACACGTGAATAAAAACAGGACTGATTATCTTTGTTCTTAAAGAAAAGAAAATGCAAGTATTTTCAGGCCTCAATGCTGAGATCAGGGTGAGAGTACAGAGGTGCATGTCATTGTGGGAGCTACCAGAGGTGTTTGAAACCAGCCACTGCAAAAGTTCTCTGGTGGGACTCTCTGTCCAGGAATCATCAATAGCAAAGTCTCCCAAGGATCTGTCTCTATCAGCACTCTTCATTTGCCCATTTGTCCAACCTTGCCTTGCATTGGTAGTTTATAATTCTCTTGAATCCCAGAATGAGCAAAAGCTTTGAGTGGGGAGGTTTGTCTTTTGTAGAACCCAACATAAATTCCACACTCATGTGGGAACAGAAAGCTGAGCAGAACCGATAAGCATATATAAATCTGCTGGTATATATAATACATACATATAATATATATCACTATATATCATATGTGTGATATATATGATAAATCATACACACACATACACACATACAATTTGCCAGCTGTTTTTCCATCTAGTTTTTATTATATGAATAAGACTCAAAAATACTTACCAAAATTAATGACTGATAAAATAGTCAATCTCCCTCTTCGTGGTAGAAGAATGTTATCTTAGGGCACAATAGTATAATAAAATTGCATTACTGGGATAGCTCAGAGAAGAGGGTTTCTAAGATGGGCTTCTCACAGTTTCTTGCCTTGACTCTGAAAATGCTGGTGCTGCTATACCTTGCTCCCTTGTCCCTGTTCTTCACATCTGAGCTCCTGTTCTCTCCCACCCAGCCTCTATGGCAGGATTCCCCGAAGCAGCCTGCTTCTCTCCCCTCATGATCTGCATGGCGGCCAGGTACCAGCGCATCAGAGGGACTGTCCTGTTCCTTACAATGTGTGAGAAAGACACAGACACCTGGAGGGAAGGGAAGAAAGAATCACACCACAGCTCTGTGATGGCTTCTGTGGAAAAGTACATGTGGGAAATATAATCCTCTGTAGAGGTGACCAGAATGTTTAGTCATATAGAATTTTTTAATTGCTATGTCACCCAACCAAAAAACAGACTGCATTTTCAACTGAGGGAATAAAAAGCCTAGTTGCTCATGTGCAGGCAAATGATAACTTCCTGTGCACTTTCTCCTGGCCTCGTCAGTGCCTCAGTACAAAGAAACTCAAAACTGTTACCAGTAGCTCAGGAAGGCAATAGGAAAAGAATGAAGATTAGGAGAGAAAGGAGCAACATGCTAGACTTGGAGTTAAAAAGTTGGAATTTTACTCAATTTTTTACTCTGTTACTTCAAAAAAATCCCTTCTCTATCTGAGCCTAAGTTTCTTTAAATATAAAATGAGAAAAACTATCCATACAATTCCAATATGCCAGTATTTTTTTTATTTTCTCGTCTTCTATGATCTTTAAAAAACTATTTTTGTAGAAACTGAAATTTGTGTTTCCATTGCTATCATTCTGGGTTTATATTTTTTTCGTATTTACAGAAATTTTGTTCAGAAAGATATTTTTGTGTTGGATTAACTTTCAACCAATGACCAAGTTTGCTCCCTAGAAGCCATTTGAATCTGGGTGGGCCTTATACCCAAAACTAAGTCTGTTTTCATGTTTGTGTTACTGATCCATCTAGTGTAGGTGTTCATTAAATACTTGCTAACTAAAATAATCAATCATCTTATAAAAACAACATTGACAAATGTTATTTCTAAAAGTTCAACCTATAGTGAAAAATCCTCAACATCCTGTGGTTGAAAGCATCTGGTCCACTGTGAATTATTTTTT
The DNA here is from genome assembly GCF_000001405.40 of Homo sapiens. NCBI lineage: Eukaryota > Metazoa > Chordata > Mammalia > Primates > Hominidae > Homo > Homo sapiens. The sequence continues at coordinate 19,032,553 of NC_000002.12, forward strand.
ATGAATTAGTTCCAGGAGGCCTCCTCTGTTGACAAAAGATACTCATTATCAACCGGGTTTGCTGGGCTGGGACTATTTCGGGCATCTGTAAAAGTACCATCTTCCAGATTTACATGGCTTTTATGACACTTACTGATCATATCTTTTGGTCCAAACCATATCATTCTAAACCCCCAAAACTAGTCTCTTTCTTTGTAAATTGGGTGGATATTGTAAGCTTCTTTCCTCTATTTCGGGGAATGCAAAAATCCCAAGAGTATATCAAGTACAGGGTATATTTGTAATCAGGTATTATGAAATCCTGCTTTGGATAGGGATGGAATCAGTAGTTATCTATCCCTACTGGCTTTGATTAGTAGTTGAAAAAAGCAAGAAAAATTAGCAGAAAAGCCCATGATGTGAAGTGCTTTTTGAAGAACTTATTTCCAACTCTAATCATATATGGCCCTGGTAACTTCTTACACCTGGAACTCAACTCTCAAAACACATGTAAGTATTGGGTCCATTAAAGTAGGCTGATATAGAGTTCCCTTTTTCATCTCCCATCATCTTCACTCACCTTGATGACATAATATTCTTGGCCTTCTCATTAGCAATCAAACTATTCATGATTATGCCCCACAGATCACTGTCAAAACTACTTTCTGGAGAAAAAAGTCTGAAAATCCATTATGATGAGGAATGGATGACTGAAGGAATCATCATGAGATACAGGAGTAGTGGCATCATAGTAGAGAAAATGGTGACATTACAAGATGGTGGCTATTGGCTGGAAAAAAGGACACAGAGCACCAAAGCCTGTGCTAACTCTGGAGGACGTAAAACACTAGAGAGTCATGTCTGCCAACGTTGGGCAAGAAGTAGGTCTGGTGCATGTGAGCCACTCGGTTCTATAAATAAACTCAGCAAGACCTGCATGTGTTTTCCTAGTGAGCCTGCTTCCTTATAACAGAATTCCTGCTGCTCCTGCAGTCCCTGCTGGTGTTCACTTCCTTTTGGCAAGCAACCCCATGGCCTTCTTGGGGAGATGTCATGTGTGCCTCCTGTAGCAGGACCAGGGCCACTTGTCTGTCCACTTCCAAAAACTCAGGCAGAAGGAGGTCCTCTGTGCTCTAGTTGCAGAATGGGGTGCCTGTCTCTAGATGTCTAAACAAACAACCCTGAGTTGAAATGTCTTTAAGAACCTGCTACTGTGAGGGCATAATCCATCATCTTCTAAAACACAGTTTAAAGTACTATGTGTGGTCTTATTCCCTTGGGTTTATTTGACCTAGAATTTAATTAAGGACTTTTGGGAGAAAACAATGATGTGAGACAACTGGAGGGTCCCAACAAGTATGTTTTACATATTCATAACTGTATAATCCACAAGTTTGTTTTTATTTATGAAAAATCTCAGTGAGAATAAACAAAGCAGAGAGCATAATAAATGGTGTCTTTATTATAAGGAAACCAGGAAGATTGCACTGGCCATTTGTTTCCTTCTAGGACGTAGGATGAGACAGTCTGCCCGTCATGCAGTTGGCAGAATGGGATCCAGTCAACCCCAGAGCCACCTTCCCATTACAATCCATAGCTGTACCACTTGTCCTCAGTTTTGAAAAAGATATTATAATCTCAACCCATCTACACACAGATACGGGCAATATCCCTAGGAATGATACCTAGGGGTACCTACATCCTATTCCTAAAAATCAGAAACCTGTGTGCTTCTTCTAAGTGGCAGCAGCCTCCATGAAATGGAGAATGCCTGGCAGCATTAGGGACCCTGATTATGAGATACGGCACCATCACTTGAGATATGTCAACAGCTTTTTTTGATTTAATGAATAGAAAAAACATTTGAAACACTAGTTATAGAGAAATAAACTTGAACTTACTTTATTTATTCATTGCCAAATCAGGAAAATGTAGTAGACGTACTTTAATGGTTCATACTTTTGTGAGTGTGAGGATTCCTTTATGGTATCAAAATACTTCAAAGCTTGTAGCCCCAATTGTGGTCATTTAACTTTTAGTGCTTTGTTTGAAATAAATTAACTTCAGATAAATTAGCATTTTGTTTTATCTCAATAGCATCTGCATTCATTTTAAGGCACTCATTTGTATGTGGAAAATGTAATTTATTCAGACTACAGATAATATTTGGTTGCTTTGAGAATGAACAGATTATTTGTGTTAATTCTGCAGTTCCCAGAGACCACTGGGAATCATGAAGACCTGACTTTCACTCTGGATTTCACCCAAGCGCAACTAAGTTTCTCACGATATGTTATGAAGACTGGAGAAATCAAGGCTGACGTTGACATGATGGGTGCATATTAGGTAGACCAACTACTTCCAAAAGTGCTGATGATTGCTGGGGAAGAGAGAATGGGATCTCTGATGAGGAGCTATGAGATCTACCCTTTGGTCTCTCCTCTTCCATTCTTGTTCTGCCACTGACTCAGTGCATGGCCTGGGAAATGTCATTTTTGCTCTCTTAGCCTTGGGTTCTTCATATGAGACAGGGCAGGTGGGATGTAAAATAGAACAGCAGTTCTAAATCTTTTGATTTATAAATCTTGAACTTTTTACAAATGCTTTGAGTCATTTTTCTGGAACATACTTATATACACAAAATTGACCTACCATTCTGGGGACTCATAGATCTTCTGAAGCCACGATCAGAAACCCTTGAGGTGATGAACATTTAAATGCTCCCCAGCAAGGAAAGGGCAGTGTTAGGGAGTCAAGGACATGACTATGGAGCTGTGGTGATTTCACTTTTATTTCAAGCAGCTCTTTTGCAGAAAGTAATGGGAGTCAGTCCCTGGGAGACATCTGGAAAGCATGTCGCCTGACCTCCAGCTGGGTTTGGTTTCAGTCTGTTCCAACTGGTGACCCTGCAGTGCTCTTTCTCTTTCCCAACCCAGACATTCTCTGTCTCCCTGTCTGAGCTGGGCCCTTCCCGGCCTTTCAGGAATGGTGTGCCAAAGACAAGGCAATTCCACTCTGAGAAGGGTCTTACAGCACTGCCTTGCATCACAAGGGCTCCTTCAGTGGACTCTAAGTTCATTCCCTCCCTCGCCACTGAATTTGATTCCCTTTCCAAAGCCCTCTTCATACTTTATGGAAAGGATTCTTTTTACAGGCACCAACCAAACACAGTGTGTTGACCATTCAGGAGTGGAGTCAAGTCAGGGACAGAAAGTATAGCTATGCATACCGGCATCTTCTGGCTTCCAAGCCAGCTGCAGAACTACATGATCAGTATCGCGTGAGGGAGAAATGTGGGGGTTGAGTAGGATGCCCTTTCTCATCTCTGGTCTCACTCATTTGGGTTTATGCCAAGTCCCCTTGTCATAGAATGTCAGCAGCATTTCTTAGACTCTCTTTTGGCCATTCTTTTATCATCTATAGCTGTGCTGTCCAGTGCAGCAGCCACTAGTCACATGTGACTATTTAAATTTATTAAAATTAAAACTTTAGCTCCTCAGTTGCACTAGCCACACTTCAAGTGCTCAATAGTCACATAGGGCTAGTGGCTCTTGGACCAGAGAGCATACATCTAGAACATTCACATCTTCACAGAAAGTTGTATCAGACACCAAAGACATATATGCCTTCAGTAAATAAACACTCCCTGCCAGCACCTGACTGAGATTCAAAAGTGTAAAAATGATTGAGATGAGATTCTGCCCTCAAGAGGCTCATGGGTTGTGGAGGAGGCAGACATGAAATTATACCATCATAAAACTCTGAGCTTCCAAGGGAGACAGGAATTAGGTATTCCAGGCAGAGATAACAGTAGGTACAAAGGTACAGAAGAATAAAAATATGACATGTTCAGAGAAAGGGACATTGCTGCCTGTTCACATGTAGAGTATATGTGTCTCATGAGTAAAGAGGTGGTGAGAGTGATGACTGACCAAGGTGGGAAAGTACACAAGGATCAGGTTTGATGAAATCTTGTCTGCCATGTCCATTTGGTAGTTGTTTTATAAAGGATAATTTACCAGAACTTCATCTGTAACTAGTTTTGATTTCCTAGAATTTGGTTCCTTGAAATTAAATACCCTTTTGCCCCATCTCTGTCAGGATCTTATGACAAAGTCTTTTAAAGAATTTCAAATCCTGAGCTCCTGTCCTCTCTGTGGCACATCTTCTTCTTCTTCCAGGCACTGCCCTCAGGTTCACATCTCTCACTGCCACATCGTATGGTCGCTGGAAGATGTAAGAATGTATGGATGTTTGTGTTTAGCTAAGCAAAGATGTCCCTTAAACTGACAATAAGGTTGACGACCACAAGCAAAATGAAAAAGGGCAATGCTTCCAAAGAATTAGTTAGCTAGCTGTGACAACAAGACCAAGGAAAACTGGTGGAAGGACAAGTGGAAAAGACACTTGCAGAATGCTCTTCAGGAGGCATTCCTGCAGCTCACTGTGGCAAACACATGCACTCTTCTTTCAAACTACATAAATCCTCACAGCTGAGGTTGAGGTTCATTTCTGCCTGTCCTAAATGTATCTTGATAACCAGTAAAGATGCATACCATAAAACTATTCAAGAAATATTAATTGAGCATTTACTAAGTGTCAGACTCTTGCTGCCTTCAATGAAGACCAACTTCATGGGTCTGCGATGACCATGGGTCATGATCCTGACCTCTGGGATATTCATGATAGATTTCAACACCCTTCCAGTGCTATCTTCTGCAGTCTCAACATAGCCCTGCTAGGTAGATAAGACCAAGTTTTTATCCCCATTTTTACAGATTGCAAAATTAAAGTCCAGGGACACAAAGTCATGTCCCAATATTGCATTGAACAAGGGAGCTAGAGTCAGCTCCAGTATTTCCAATATAGGCTCTTAGAGGTTTCCTCGGAAGGCAAGTTAAATAATTACAGAAAACTCCCCTAAAATTACTTTTTCCTAGTATGTTGGGAAAAAACATCAAATATGAGGCAAAAAAATACTAGGAGATTCTTGATGATTGCATTTGCTTAAAAACAGATACAATACTCTCAGTAGTTCAAAGCCCCAAATACTTGTAATGATCAACAAAAGCTGAAAGCTGATTTCTTTTGAAAATCATCAAGATTAAAGTGGTCAGGTGGCCACAAACATTCGTAGCCTTCCTGTTACACTAAAGAAAAGAAAGAACTTGATGAGTTTAAATGCTTTTTTGAAAGGATTCATTTTATTTTAATGAAAAGAAATACACATCTCTCTTTTCTCATTTCAGTGGATCAGAAGAGTTTGTGGCAAAAATCATACTGGCCAACACTGAGCCAATGCTGCAAGAGCAAACGCTAAATAAAGAAATCTGTTTTAAGCCTTTATTGAATTGTAACTGCACACTTGCAAATAAATCCCAGTGCATGTTGTTTTAATTAATGTAAATAATAAGATAACAGTGGTTATGGAGGTCTAACCAACCATACAGTTAAGCATTCATTTGTTTTCAATTATAGTTAAAATATATTCAACTGAATACAGCTTAAGTGGTAATTACATTCTTTACAAGTTCCTAATAATCCCTGGCATGGCCACTCTAATAAAAATTTGCCTCTAATGGGTACATGTCCTGCTTGCTCACATGTCAAGGCCAGTGGAGTCATTAGGAACAACAGCCGTCCAAGTGTCTGTCTGGAGATTTAGACTTCTGTCCAAAGCCCACACATGAACCACTCACTGTGTACTTAATATGGGAAGCAGCATGGTCATTTGATTGTGGTTTTATGCTCTTTCCCAGGAATGCTTCTCAGGGGGGCAATTCTGCTATTGGAGAGTGGCTATTTGTCATTTCCTATCAGATGAAGCCTTGGACAGACCCTACAGTAGGATGCAAGGGGCTTCACTCAGCCATCCTGGCTACAGGAATTTCACTTCATTTTAAGATAGTCACTAACCTCCACCCAAATTTCCAGGATATCAATCTGTGTTTAATGGGTGGCTGGTTGTGAGACTGAAGTAGACACAGCATTCCAATCAAGGGAAATATGTCTGGGTGCACACACAGCTTGATAAATTGCTTTTAATGTTTTGAGTCAGGGAAAAAAAATCTAACATTATATGTTCCCTTTCTTTTCTCTTATTTCAATACTCTACTGTGTCTCTCTTCCTCAATTTTCCTTCCTCCCATGCTCCTTTTTCCTCTTTTTCTCTTTCCTGTTCCTTCCTCTCTGTCTTCCCTATGGGAGAATTTCAGAGGAAATAAAAGACAGAACTTGCTTTGTGGTTAAGAGTGCCTATGTTGGGTGATTCTGAGCTGTATCATTTCCTCAACTGTCATTCCAAAATTCGTGTGTCATTCTAGTGGTGCAATTCTGCTGCTCTGGTTCTGGAGAGCAATTATAATTGAAGTGCTTGGCAGATTTTTATTTTCAGCATCTACTTGAAATTTAGAGGAAGCCAATGGGGGCTGTGCCCAGAGAGAGAAAAGCATGTCTCATAGATAAGAAGGGACGTCAGTCACCCCCTAATATTAAGAGGACAACCCTAGAAGTAAACATGAACCTACTGCTAGCCTTGCTTTTCTAAAAGAAAAGATGCACATTTATGCAGTAAATATATACTAAACAAAAAAAGGGAAGTAGAAATAGTCAAGAATAACAGATGGCAGAAAGATATATGTACTCATAACAAACTTGACAGTGCTCTCTCTAGTAAGCCATGGCAATGCTTGGATAATTGTTGGGTTTGGATATAAATTTCAAAAGGCAAAGTCAGCCATATTTTTATCTAATAGAATGTTTAAATAAATCCTTCCTCCTTGATTTGTCAGTTCCATACATGAGGGGCTGCTGGTAGAAGGGGTGCTGGTTTTATCTGGCCCTGTTATCGAGTGACTATGGGACTGTGTATAATTCCCTTCTCCTATATGGGTCTTGTTTTCTCCTCTTTTAAATTGATAATCTTAAAGGCACCTCTCACCTCTGACAATTGCCATTTCATTAAATTACAGCTCAGATTAATAAAGCTTCTCATGATTGACGTGCTTTAACAATCCGGTCTTTCCACAGCAGTGAGCCGTCGGTTAGTAATTTGGGAGGATATACATGTATCAGAAACTTTATAGAGAAGGGCCATGCATCATAGAGAGAAACAGGAGACCTGCCTTTTAGGCTTCTACCCACCTCAAACTTCCAGAATTCTATGGTACTTCTGTCTAGCCATAATTCATTCCTGCCTTGTGCTTCTCCACTACCTTGTGCTATGAGACTTTAACAGCTTCAAAGAAAGTGGAGGAGCCCCATAGAAAATCCTGGCAATGGCTGTAAACTTGCACAAGCCAGGCAAGTGCCAGAAAGATAGTATGGGGACAACTCCTACCAGCTTGTGAATATTCAGTCTCCCTCTTACTGCCCAAACTATGCCACGACCATTACCACAGAACATGGTAGTCCACATGGTGTCTCCCAACATTCCCAACATTCAGTTTCTAAATGAAACTGAATTTCATTTAGTTCTAATTTGAATAAGACTACATTCAGTGCATAGATTCTAATTTGGACTAGACTAAATTGTCTCTTCCCAATCTTTTCAGCCTTCCATCCCACCAACCCCCAATATGTACTCAGAGCTCAAACTTAACCTGATAGCTTATAGTATTATATTTCTATTGCTGTGCAACAAATTACCACAAATTTGGTGGCTTGAGAAACAACCCTTTACTATCTCACTGTCCACTGGTCTAGAGTCCAGGCATGTGTTAGCTGGATCCTCTGCTCATGGTCTTGCAAGACTACACTCTAGGTATGCCCTGAGCTACTTTCCTTTCTGGAGTTCAGCAGTGTTTTCCAAGCTCATCTGCTTGTTGGTATTATTAGGTTGGTGCAAAAGTAATTGCAGTTTGGGTGGCTCACGCCTGTAATCCCAGCACTTTGGGAGGCCGAGGCGGGCGGATCACGAGGTCAGGAGATCGAGACTATCCTGGCTAACACGGTGAAACGCTGTCTCTACTAAAAACACAAAAAAATTAGCCGGACATGGTGGCAGACTCCTGTAGTCCCAGCTACTCGGGAGGCTGAGGCAGAAGAATGGCGTGAACCTGGGAGACGGAGCTTGCAGTGAGCTGAGATCACGCCACTGCACTCCAGCCTGGGCGGCAGAGCAAGACTCTGTCTCAAAAAAAAAAAAAAAAAAGAGTAATTGCGGTTTTTGCCATACTTTTCATGACAAAACCACAGTAACTTTTGCACCAATCTAACAGCATGTAGTTCCTTGGAGTTGTTAAGATTGAGGTCTTTATTTTGTGTTGTCTTCAGCTGGGGAATGCTCTTGACTCCTAAAGGGTCTCATACTTCCTTGCCAAGTGGAATTCTCACAAATGGCAACTGATTTCTTCAAAGGTGGCAGGAAATCTCTCTCCACTGTGCTGAGATGGAGTCTTATATAAAGAAACAAACACAGGAGTGAATATTGCCGCGCCTTTGCCATATAACATAACGTAATTACGGGAATGACATCCACCACCTCTAACACAGCAAGCCTAGAGTTCCATCTGCAGTCAAGAGGAGGGGCTTATACAAGGATGGGATTCACTGGGGATCAGATTGGAATTCTGCTTACCATAATTATTATACCCAGAGCATTTTTCTTACCCCTTTAGATATGGGTTTTCCTTTGTCTAGTAGGGAACTACTAGACATAGGGTTTGCCTGTGTCTAAAACCATCACCTTCACAGATGACTTGAAGTCCACCCATCCTCCCGTTGAGGTTTCCATTATATGTATAATCCTCTTAGGGCACTTGCTCACTCTGGAATGTGATACAGTTTGCAGGGTCTTCTCCCCCAATATACAGAAATCTTCTTCCAAGCAGGGAACTAGATTATATTCAACCTCACATTTCCTCTCACTCCTCACTCTGTACTGTGCAGCATAGTGCTTTCTACATAGGCAGTAGCTGGCAAACACTAGTGAAATTCAATAAATCAAAGCATAGAAATTACAGAATATGCAAGCTAAAACAGAGCTTCGGGGTCACCTAGACCGAGCTCCTTCCCTTATTTCTCTTGGCTGGAGGCTATTGGCATCTTTTTGTGTTTGTATGTTCCATCTGCTATCAAACATTTTTATGACATTTATTTCCTCATTATAGTCCTTATTGTGCTTTATTTATATATCTGTGAGGCACGGGAGAATTTCCAATTCTCCTTTCCCCTGCAAGCCTGCTCAGACTCCTAATGCCCATGACAGGCCCCCAGGGCTCCCGTGACAACACTACTCCCCACTTCCCTACGTGTCTCTCTGTCTCCTCTGTCCCTCCATCATCAATTTCAAACTTCCTGCCCTGACATTCAAGGCCTCCTTACACTTTGAGTCTGTCTGTATCACCTCCCTTATTTTCTCTGGGTCTCATTCCCTAACTCCCACTCCCAATTCTGGGCATTTCTCCAAGTTTCTCCATATTCCTGGAACCATCATCCCACTCTCTCCCTCCCCCACCCCTCCTATCATCTGTCAAGACTTCCCCCATTTCTTTTATCTTCCCTAACCCTAAAAATTTTGAAAGAACTGTCTTTTGACACACTAAGTACATGTAGATTTGATATTCTATGAGCAAATATTGGCCCATGACTGTTCAACCATTGAAACATATACATAGGACAGATGTGAGAATACCTTGGTCTTTGCCACAGTGAAAATCATAAGCAAAGCTTTTAATATCAGACATGGTAAAGTGGGAAGGAAGCCTACCATCAAACAGAATTAAGCTGTCTTGATTTGCCCGCCTGGCCAACTTAACTCAAGAAGGATACAAATTATTTGGGGCTTGATCTAACACCCTAATAGGTCTTTTGCTATTTCAGGTAAAGGGAAGGCTAGGCATTGGACAGATTTTTAAGGTGAGCTCTCATAGTTACTAGCTGCTGTGATTTTGGATAAATTATATAAACTCTCTAACATTGCTTCCTTACTTCCAAATAGAAATTATCTTAATAATAATACCTGATAATGAAACAAATTAACATGTACAAAAACATCCATAACAAATTGTAAAATGCATGTAACTGACACTCGTAACCTTTCACAGCAGCATTTTTGAGTGCAGCTTGTGTCAGATTCTCAGTGATCGACTGTGGGAGAGCCTCCAGGTTCCCTCAGGACCTCAATTTCCTCATCTTTAATATTGGGGTAATAAACTCCTGCCTTGCTTATCTCAATAAGCTGTTTTGAAGATACCCTAAGAGAAAAGAAATGGACAATTTAACTCAGGAAGGTGTGAGTTTGAATCAAATTTTCAGAATTTATCCATCAACCCAACAACCTATTGTGTCATTGAGTGAGTTTAGGGCATAATTTGCTGATTTAGGGAGTTCAGGTACTGGTAACTGATTATGGAAAACTCTGTGATAGACTCTTCTCCGTTCTCTTCAAGTAAAGCAATATTGCAATTCTAAATTAGAATACTTTAATAGATTACTTGGCAGTTTTGCCTGCCCTCAGTGTTTGGAGGAGGGCAGAGGCACCAAAGAAGCACAACAGCAGGGAATATTAGTTGTCTGTTGTTGTGTAACAAATTACCATAAACTTACAAGCTTAAATAACAAATTTGTTATCTCACAGTGTCTGTAAGTCGGAGTCCTAGTACATTGTAACTTGGTTCTCTGCTTAGGGTCTCATGGGAGAAAGTGGGTCTTGCTGGCCAGGCAGGGGTCTCATCTAGGGACTCTGGGGAAGAAATTACTCCCAAACTCACCCAGGTTGTTGCCAAATTAGTTACCTTAGATTACTGGTTGTTGGAATAAGGTCCCCATTTCCCTGCTGGCTGCCAGTCAGGGGTTCTCTCTGCTCCTATAGGCTGCGCATATTCCCCTTCATGCTTTCTATAGGGCCCTCCATCTTTGTAGCAGCCAGGGTTTATTCAGGACTCACACTTCAAATCCCTCCAACTTCTCTTTCAGCCTCCAGCTGGAAAAAGCTCTCTGCTGTTAAGGACTCACATGATTATATCAGGCCCACTTGGATAACTCATTATTTATAAAAGCAAATGTATTGTGATGGTTTCCACTGAACTGGGAAACAGGGTTCCCAGATTAAACATTATTTCTGTGTGTTTCTTTGAGAGTGTTTCCAGATTATATCAAAATTTAAATTGGTGGACTAGGTGAAGCAGGTGACCCTGCCCAATGTGAGTGAGCTTCATCCAATCCAGTGAGAGCCTGAATAGAACAAAAAGGTGGAGGAAGGGAGAATTTATTCTCTCTCTGCCTGACAGCTTGTGCTGAGACATCACTCCTCTGCCCTCGACTAGAAATTGTGCCATTGACCCTCCAGTTCTCAGAACAACAGCACCAACTCCCTGTGTTTCCAGCTTGCAGGCAGCAGATCATGGGACTTCTCAGCCTCTGTAATTACTTGAGCAGCAAATTCTTTATAATAAACAGGTATCAACTTCTTTTGAAAAGTCAAAAGATCTGGCAACACTGTGCCCATTTCTCCCCATGACAATAACAGGCTGGTGCCTCCTTGAAGCAGCTTGTGCAGCTCCAATTGTTGTAGTTCCATTACTCACTTTTGTGTTGCACCTGGTCTATTCACTCTCTCATGTCACTTGCCTGCTCCTTGAAGGCTTTTGGGCTGGCACCACTTGATCTTGTTTAACCAACTCATTTTACCGATAAGAAAGCTGAGTAACAGAGAGATTAAATAGTATGTTCAGACAGCAAGGACAAGTCTCCTAACCCATGCCACGCCACCAAATTTCTTAGTGTAAATTTTGCTGTAAGCAATATGTCTTTTTTAAAAAAAAATTCAACTTGTATTATAGATTAAAGGGTTCATGTGCAGGCTTTTTGTACATTTTCCTATTTTTAAAAGTTTGTATAGGCCAAACAGTATTTAGTCTGTGAGTGGTCAGTTTGAAATCCTTTAAATAAGTATATCTTTAAGCCACCTGCAACTGAAAAAATATATATATTTCTGTTTTTCATTTAGAGATATAAACTTAGGTATGAATACTGTAATACGGAACATATTTATTGCATACATTGGGAAAACATCTCCTTTAAGGTATGGTTGTCCTAGGTACACAAAATATTTTTTGTCTTCCCTTAGGTGGTTTGTTTATCCAACACTCCATTTGGTTTAGAAAAACCTCCTTATTTGCTTCAAGGAAATCAATAAAGACTCTCTAAACCTCCTTATTTGCTTCAAGGAAATCAATAAAGACTCTCTCTCTGTCTCTCTCTCTCTTCCTATCTGTGTAAGAATAGGTGTGTGTATATATACATATATATCTCCCATAGGTTTCTTTTTCTGAAACCCCCTAATACATGTACCATATAGCATAACACAAAATCACAAGAATATTTCATCGTATTTACAAATTTAGGGTATTATGTCAGGATATCTCAGGGAGGAAGAGGTCATTTTAGAAATTCTGTTTACCACACTGAAGCATACATTCTTCCAGTTCATGGAGAATTTTCAGTATCCAAGTGATATTACATAGAAGGTGACATCTCCTAAGAATAAGAAGACTTGGAGTGAGAAGGAAGTTTCCAGTAAACAAATGGGAAAACCTTCAATTGCACTAACAAATTCTCTGCAGTTGCTGATAGAATAAAACTACAGGAAAGGCACAGATAATCTAGCAAGGAGAAAAAGAAAGGAAAACATAAACAAAGTTTTGTTAGAAAGGATCCAAAAAAACCAACCCCGAGCTTAAATATACTGACACAAACAACATGAAACAAATGAAAAAAAACGGAGCCATAAAGGGAAAGAAACCATGCAAGAGAATAATCAGCGAGGAGGCCAAGAGCACAGAGACCAGAGAGAGGATGAATACAGAACAGAGAGTCCTGAATGAGAATTCCCAGATGATAGAAAACACCAAGTAAACAAATACCCAGCTCGGAGTCAAGAAACTGCTTCAAGGCTAAGAAGTTCCAAGATTTAGAAAGTGGGGGTGGTAGTGATAGGGTGGAACCAGGAGATTTCACTGTATATCAAACTAGTTGATTGTAAAGAGGAAGTCATATATTAGCTATGAATAGTAGAGCAAAATGATCCCATTAAAAGGAAATATAGGCAGCAAGGTTGAAAATTAGACGTCCTACAGTAGGTATCATTTAATCTTCACAGAATCCTGTGCTATTACAACTATTTGTCTTTACCTTCTACCTAATTCAAGAAAAATAAATTATAAGATATTAAAGATGAAAAGAACCCTTAGGGATCAGCTAGTCTAGCCTGTTTTTACAAACTGGTAAACTATGGGCCAGGGAAGGAAATAAAATGAACTGCGTCAAACAGTGAAACTCAAGACAGTCAAGTCTAGGGAAACCTGCCTTTTAAGTCCCAGCCCATGCTCTTTCTAGCACAGGGGGCTATGGACCTCTCTTTTGCTGGATAACCTAAGCATCAAAGATAAAGCTTATGCTGTTTAGTAGACAGGAACCAAAAAGTAGGTTTCGCCCAAGATTGCATCCTCTGTTAAAAAAAAAAAAAAATCGTGAGTGTTCTTTTAGGAAATTTTTTAAAGTCTATACTTGTATATTTCATGCTACCCCAAACTCTTTCTTAGGAAGAGTATTTATGTTTTCATGCAAAAAATTTTGGAATAAAATTGTGATTTTATTTCAATTATTAATGGCTTTTAAATTATGAAAACTTCTGTGTTGGTGGGGCCGGAAAGTGGGGATCTTTTTTTTGAGGCAGAGTCTCGCTCTATCACCAGGCTGGAGTGTAGTGGCGTGATCTCGGCTCACTGCAACCTCTGCCTGCCAGGTTCAAGAGATTCTCCTGCCTCAGCCCACCTCATAGCTGGGACTACAGGCACACGCCACCACACCCAGCTAATTTTTGTATTTTTAGTAGAGATGGGGTTTCACCATGTTGGCCAGGATGGTCTCAGTCTCTTGACCTCGTGATCCGCCCACCTTGGCCTCCCAAAGTGCTGGGATTACAGGCGTGAGCCACCGCGCCCGGCCGAAGTGGGGATCTTATAAGTTTATGAAAGTGAAAATATTTTTAAATAACTTTATATGGTAAATAAAGGTTTAGCCCCCATCAAATGCTATTATGTGTGAAGAGTGAATAATTGTAAGGCAATATGTGGTCTACACATGAACTCATACAGCCACCGGATAAATAACCATATGAAAATATGTAAGAACCTCCATTGCTGGACCTCAGTTTCTATCTGTGAAAAGTAGAATTTGAAGTACATTATTTATACTTCCCATTTTAGTGCTAACGTACTATGACTTTAGGAATATGTGCCACACATATGGCTGTTTGGGTATGCCCTGCAAACTTCCAGGGGGCACCATTCTCATTGCAGTCTGCTTGAATGTGCCCCCTGAAGTTATGGAGTATGAAAGATGAGATGTGATACTTGGTGTTATACAGAAAAAAAAAATACATCTCAAAAGGGAACAGTATAATATATGGAAGATAGTATTAGACCATCAGCCTAATAAAGCATCATCTCACATTTAGCTACAATCCTCCAGAACTTCCCTCATTATGGCTAAAAATAGAAGATATTATTTTGTTCTGGCTGAGAAGAGCCCTTTTGCTATTTAGATACCATCCTAATTTAGTGAGAATCCGGCTCCATAACTGTCCAGCTTGCAGTCAGGAGCATGGGAATGCACCCAACAACAGTTGGAGAAAGGAGAGTATAGTGATGAGCTCAGGCGTCTAAACATAGATATAAGACGAGCCAAAAATTGAGGAGGAGGTTGCACAAGGAACAGTCCAGTGAAAAGGCAGCATATCCTGTGGGCATGCACAGAGGCATGAAAAACTGAGAATTAAAAATACACAACATTAACCCAGCTAATTAATTAATTAATAACTTGAATTTGAGGCATATCCCTACATGGGCATGTTCTTTGGTTTTGATTCTTATAATAACAAATACTGTTTTGAGTCATAACCTATGAAAAAGACTCTTTTCAGATTCTGAGCTTACCCAGGGCAAAGTAATAGGGAAGGTATTTGAGGTCTCCATTCTAAGACAGACAGAGACATTAGTAGATAGAGTTATAGATTAAGAGAGGGAAAGAGAAAGAGGGAGAAAGGGGAAGAGAGACCCAGAGCAAACATGTGAAGGATCTCTTACAGATTTAACTGTTTTTTTTCAGTTTCATAAACGTCAAATCTCTCTCTAGATGAGGTCTAACATGGGCTACTGGAAGAGCACATGCCATTTCCTATGCTGAAGCTAATGACCACAGCAACAACACTTTGCACTCAACAACACTTGCACTCTGGCACCTCAACATAAAGGAGCAACAAAGTAAAGCAGCCACTTAAAAGAAGGAAGGTCAGCCAGGCATGGTAGCTCATGCCTGTAATCCTAGTACTTTGGGAGGCCGAGGCGGGCAGATTACCTGAAGTCAGGAGTTTGAGATCAGCCTGGCCAAGATAATGAAACCCCATCTCTACCAAAAATACAAAAATTAGCCAGGTGTGGTGGGGGGCGCCTGTAATCCCAGCTACTTGGGAGGCTGATGTAGGAGAACCGCTTGAGCCTGGGAGGCAGAGGTTGCAGTGAGCCGAGATCGCACCATTGCACTCCAGCCTGGGTGACAAAGAGTGAGACTCTGTCAAAAAAAAAAAAAAAAAAAGGAAGGTCTTGCTTTGGTTTGGGATAAACATCCTTCCTACAGCTCTTTGAGACCAAAAATTAAGTAGTATAAATTGAGCTGAATTCATACATTCTTCTTTTCTGTTTCTCAGAATCAAGAACAGAGAAAATAAATCCTTCATTCATTATCAACGATTTTTTCATTCAAAAATGCATGTAATAAAAATACATGTATTATGATCTAGGTGCTGGGAATGAACACAACCTTAGAAAATAGAACCACTCTGCTCACTGAAGTATTGAAACATTGCATAATATTTAATAATTGTTTCAGGAACGTTAACAAGTAATGACACAAGATCTTTGAAGCCATGGATTCCTGCCTTCTGCAGTGGGAGTGATATCTTTAAGTGTTCTTCCCATTGCTGACCTGCAGCCACATGAGGATTAAATGAAATGAGATAACAGCTACAAGGTACATTGCCAAGGTGGCTTCCTTTATCAGTATGGATGTGCCTTGGCGCACCAGAAGTGCTCAATAATGTTCATCTGTTAATTCATGGACTCACGTATTTTCCATTGCTCAATTCCTTTAATTTACATTACCTCTCCTTTCTTACATAAATCTCTTTGCTCATGAAGATGGTAAGCTGTGTGTTTCAGGTACACACATGAAACATCCTGAAACCTGATCCCATTTCAATGAGGCCACACTTTCCCTGCTCCAGCCACCAAGAACTAAGTCCAGAAGATGCTGCTTGAAGTTCAGATATGGAAACCAGACAAATGGCTTTAGACTACAAGCAAAAAATCAGTCATTAAGTGCTAGTTGCTGTTTTCCCACCTGTTTTCCTTGCTTGAGCCTTCCCATCCAGATCCTCCACCTCTACACCTACCTGGTTAAAAATGTCAGCACTGGGGGGCATATTTACTTAGCCATCTACTTCCTGGCTCTTGGATTCTGTTTGCTAGGTCCTGACGTCATCCCCAGGCTGGAAGCCAATGTTTGCACTGGGTGGGAGTAAAGGGAGGCATAAACAGAATCAACCCGCTTGTGCTTTAAAAAATCAGGCTAGAATTATATACATATTTCATGTCAGAAAAATAAAATGTGTCTTGGCGGTGGATGGGAAGTTGGAGCACTTGGACTGGGAGTGGAGAGTTGGCAGATGTGTTCCCCTTTTCCTTGGCCCCCCGCCTGACAATCATTCAACCTTTTACTCTTAGAGTCAGCTCCTTCCCCCTCCTCTGAGGCCTTCCAAGTGCTACAGCATCCTTGCCGTCATCCTTAGCGTGACTTGAAAAGGAAGACAGCGCTGTTACAAAATGGTGTACATTCTCTAAATTATATAAGTCTTGTGTTCATGTCACTGGAGTGAACCCCAATTTTGCTTTAATCGGAAAGCCAGGTTCAGAAAACAAGACCAATTCACACAAGAATGAGGTTATCTAAATGAGAACGTTTAGAAATCAACCACTTAACCAGAAATGGAGTTCCCATTTCTCAGGTTCATCAAGTACTAAGAAGACTTTTTAATTATTTATTAATTTATTATTTTTTTGAGACAGGGTCTTGCTCTGTCCCCCAGGCCAGGAGTACAGTGGTACGATCATGGCTCACTGCAGTCTCGAATTTCTGGGCTTAAGTGATCCTTCCACCTCAGCCTCCCGAGTTGCTAGGATTACAGGCATGAGCCACCATGCCCAGCTGAAGAGTATAATTTGCAAAAAATTTAACTACATTTCTCTTAGCTCCTTTGTTCTCTTCAAACTCAAGTGGATCTGTTTCTCAATTCCTGGTCTTTCCTGAGACCTCCCAGGATTGCAGTGTCTCCTGAGTTTTTATCAGTACATCCTGTGGCCTTCGTCCTAATCCTGCCACCTCTCCCTTCACGGGCCAGCTCCCAGTGCTTCCCATGGGATTCCTAGGAAAGACCACTCCACTGTATTTCTCCTATATCTTCAAATTCCAGAAAGTGTTCTTTCTCCTACACTATAGTCTCTGGAACCCTGCAGACTTGTGATGATGGTGTTGCTTGTGTTGATGTGACCCCCACGGCCCCATGGTTGTTGTAGGAGGTACTGAAAAACATTTTATGCACCTACATGACAGCTTCTAGACCCTTGCTTTCCCACCCTCCTGAACATAACTCTCCTTCATTGAGGCTCATGACACCAGCCAGCTCTCCTCATCCATATGTCGATCATCTGCCAGACTCTATGGAGTCCATTTTCTCATGCTTAGCACCCCTTTGTAGCCTGGCAGGAAGTCTGGCTCCCCACCTTCAATCTTGAAACTGCTTTGGGAAATTTCACCATCCATAATCCTAAAACCTTGCTAATTCAAATGGCTTTAGACTCTCCTCTAACCTAAACAATCCACTCCAAAAACCATAAGCCAGGTCACAGAACTCTTCAACTCTTAGAAAGCCCCTGACTTCCACCAAAACACTATATTTAGAAACCTGACCTCACTAGCTGTGTTTAAACAGTGCAACAATCTAGTTTACTATGGAAAGAGATTTTTCCAATTAAGGTTGTGTGTTCAGAGTTTCCTTCTACTGATATTAAAATAAAAACAAACACTATAGTAAACCCCAAACAAAATGTTTTGTCTGGAGAGAAGGAAAGCAATGGGCACCACAGAAAAAATCATGAGTGTAGGGGGCCTTTCGTCCTATATGAATCACTCACCCCTCTGTAATTGTAAGAACAAATTCAATACTAAACAGCAAATAATTTGGATGCATCTCATTTCTTCTTCAGGAAAAAGATAGCATTTCTGCTGAGGCTTCATGAAGTGGGAGGGAAGGATAAAATGAGAATGTCTACATGCTACGATTTCCTGGGTTGTCTGTTGTGAAGAACACAGTGTATTCCAGGTCCCAGTCCCCTCTGTGGTCAGCCATCAGACGCAAGCTGAAGGTGACATGTTCTGTCACACTAAAAATGTACGTGCGCTATTCCCATTTGCTGTACTTTCTTTTGACATGACTGAAATAGGAGGCTGGGAAACTTGCCTTATCTAAAATTGAGTCCCAGATCTTGGCATTGTCTAAAGCAATCCAGGAATTCAAGTTACACTAATGTAATTTTACCTCTTGTGCCAAAAACAACTTTTGATTGGGTCTTCTACACTTACTTTATAGGCCGTACATTCTCCCCCAAATGTGACCACTGACGAACTAGCTTCAACTAATTTCTGAGAATTTTCAGGCCAAGGGAATAGCCCCAAACACTCTGAGTTTAACTGACTTTTTTTTGAAGGGCTACGCCTCCCTTGGCTCTGTGTGTCAGCAGAATTAACCAATCTATATCATTTTTTATAGATTGTGAACAGGAAGGACCTCAAGTCTGACCCCTGTCGGGCCCCAGTAAATCTCACAGCACCAAGTTAAAGACACTCCTCTGGGCTTTGTTTTTCTACCAGTCTATCATCTCCTCCCATGCACTCTGGATTTTAGCAAAACTTTTCATCTGAGATTCACAGTGGGATTTTTTTTAACATGTGCTGATGATCCAAATAGGTTATTGCATAGGATCCAATTTGTCACGTGACCTCCAGGAACATCCCACTGTTCTGCATTAAAACAGAATTCTGTCCTCTCATAAAAGAGTATATTTCCTTCTTGCATGTGCCTAGTAGCATTTTCCTTTTTAAACACCAATCTCATGGGATTTTTCCTTCTAGACTCCTCCTTTCTAGAGAAAGTATACCCACTTGTTCTTTATTTCAGTCTGAAAGAAAGTCATTCGAAGCAGGAAATTAGGCAATCACCAGTGATGTCTTCATTTATTTGAAGCTACTTTGTTTTCATTTGGTTTAGGGACTCGGGATATTAATTTGAAAATCAAGAATTTATTTTGTAAAATGGTATACTCCCATATACTTTCACACAACTATATTATTCTTATATTAAAACCAATAGATAATGTTATCAAATAGAATGAGAAATAAACTCATGCATTTTGCAAAGAGATCAAGACTTCCAAGGTATTTTCAATATGTAGCTGTCAACTTCAGCCTTTCACCCCAGAAACTCTAGTTACATGTTTTGTCTTCTCTTCAGCAAACGGTAGGAGAAGCACATCTTTAAAAGTTTATCACAGAAGAAATGAGGAAGACGATGAAACAGAGGATCATGATGATTATCATAAACTAGCTGGGGATCCCTTGGACTTTAACTCAGAGCTCCACCCTCTTATTCTACAGAACAAAGCAAAACAAAACAAAATTGACAAATATAAAGAAAATTATAACTCATAATTCACAACCATGGATAAGTATTATTCATATTTTGGTGGATATCAGTTTTTATTATGAAAAATTGTATATCATTGGGATCATAATTATACATAATTTGATATTGGCTCTTTACACAGAATAACATAACACAAGTATTTTTAATGTGGATAAAAATCTTAATATGTTGATAATCTATTGCCTTATTAAGAAATATACCATAATTTAATGAATTACTTTTATTTTCCAGATTTTTAATATATTAAATGATGTAACATGAATACCTCTCTTTATACTTCCCCCCATCCCCCATATTTCATAACTGACTCTTAGGATAAACTCCCAATGATCTGGATTAAGAGTATGAATATTGTAAGGTCCTTGAACATTTATTGACAATTGTTTTACAGATAGCTTGTTAATTTACATTTACTCTAGGAACAGAGTAAAGCAAATAACTCATTAGACTATCATAAGCATTAGATTCTCTAATTTTAAAAAAAAATTTTATTCTGAAAAAAGTTCAAAACTACAGAAGCAATTACAAGAATAGTGCAATAAACACCTCTAGGATCTTTATCTGTCTTCACCAATTATTAGCATTTTTTCATGTTTGTTTTTAACGCATATTCTCTCTGACTATATATTACAATATTATTGTTTGCTGAACCATTTGAGAATAAGTTGCAGATATAATTCTCTACCCCTAAAGATTTCCATTTTTATCTTCTGAAAAAATGATCTTATATTTTTATATTTTAAAATTAACTACATTTAACATTGATATAATATTATTACCTAACATGTAGTCCCATATGTATAGTGTCCTAATGCTGTCCTTCATAGCATTTTGTTTTCTGATCTAGAATCCAGTCCAGGATTTAGTCATCTGGTCTTTTTTTTTTCAATTTTTTATTTTTATATTTCAATACGTTCTTGGGGGACCAGGTGGTGTTTGGTTACATTAATAAGTTTTTTAGTGGTGAATTCTGAGATTTTCGTGCACCCATCACCCAAGCAGTATACACTGTACCCAATGTGTAGTTCTTTATCCCTCGCCACCACTCACCCTTCCCCCGAAGTCCCCAAAGTCCAATGAATTATTCTTATGCTTTTGTGTCCTCATAGCTTAGCTCTCATATACAAATGAGAACATACACTGTTTGGTTTTCCATTCCTGAGTTACTTCACTTAAAATAATAGTCTCGAATTCCATTCGGGTTGCTGCAAATGCCATATATATATATAATATATATATATCATATATATTTATTATATATATATCGTATATATCTCACAAATATATCATATATATATACATATCACATTTCCTTTATCCACTCATTGACTGGGCATCTGGGCTGGTTCCATATTTTTACAATTGTAAATTGTGGTGCTATAAACATATGTGTGCAAGTCTCTCTTTCATATAATGACTTTTTTCCTCTGGGTAGATACCTAGTAGTGGGATTGCTGGATCAAATGGTAGATCTACTTTTAGTTCTTTCAGGAACCTCCACACTGTTTTCCATAGTGGTTGTACTAGTTTACATTCTCACCAATAGTGTAAAAGTGTTCCCTTT
The DNA here is from genome assembly GCF_000001405.40 of Homo sapiens. Taxonomy (NCBI): domain Eukaryota; kingdom Metazoa; phylum Chordata; class Mammalia; order Primates; family Hominidae; genus Homo; species Homo sapiens. The sequence goes on from NC_000002.12 coordinate 19,053,915, forward strand.
TCATCACATACATGCCAACATCTATTTTTTTAAATTTTTTTATTATAGCCATTCTTGCAGAAGTGAGATGGTATTGCATTGTAGGTTTTGATTTGTATTTCCCTGATAATTAGTGATGTTGAGCATTTTTCCATATGCTTGTGGCCATTTGTATATCTTCTTTTCGGAATTGTCTATTCATGTCCTTAGCCCACTTTTTGATGGGATTTTTTTTTTTTTCTTGCTGATTTGTTTGAGTTCTTTGTAGATTTTGGATATTAGTTCCTTCTCAGATGTATAGGTTGTGAAGATTTTCTCCCACTCTGTGGGTTGTCTTTTAACTCTGCTGATTATCTCTTTTGCTATGCAGAAGCTTTTTAGTGAAGTCCCATCTATTTGTCCTTCTTTTTGTTATATTTGCTTCTGGGTTCTTGGTCGTGAAGTCTTTGCCTAAGCCAATGTCTAGAAGGGATTTTCCAATGTTATCTTCTAGAATCTTTATGGTTTCAGGTCTTAGATTTAAGTCTTTGATCCATCTTGAGTTTATTTTTGTAGAAAGTGAGAGACAAGGATCCAGTTCCATTCTTCTACATGTGGCTTGCCAACTATCCCAGCACTATTTTTTGAATAGGGTGTCCTTTCCCCACTTTATGTTTGTGTTTGCTTTGTGGAAGATCAGTTGGCTGTATTTGGCTTTATTTCTGGGTTCTTTATGCCATTCCCTTGGTCTATGTGCCTATTTTTAGACCAGTACCATGCTGTTTTGGTGACATGGCCTTATAATATAGTTTGAAGGCAGGTAATATTGATGCCTCCAGATTTGTTCTTTTTGCCTAGTCTTGCTTTGGCTATGTGCGCATTTTTTGGTTCTATATGAATTTTAGGATTTTTTTTTTTAGTTCTGTGAAGAATGATGGTGCTATTTTGATGGGAGTTGCATTGAATTTATAGATTGCTTTTGGCAATATCATCATTTTCACAGTATTGATTCTACCCATCCATGAGCATGGATGTGTTTTTATTTGTGTCATCTGTGATTCCTTTCAGCAATATTTTATAGTTTTCCTTATAGAGCTCTTTTACCTCCTTGGTTAGGTATACTCCTAAGTATTTTATTTTTTTGCAGCTATTGTGAAAGTGGCTGAGTTCTTGATTTGATTCTCAGCTTGGTCATTGTTGTTGCATAGCAGAGCTATTGATTTGTGTACATTAATTTTGTATCCCGAAACTTTGCTGAATTCATTTACCAGTTCTAGGAGCTTTTTGGATGAGTCTTTAGGGTTTTCTAGGTAAACAATTATATCATCAGCAAACAGTGACAGTTTAATTTCCTCTTTCTCGATTTAGATGCCCTTTATTTCTTTCTCTTGTCTCATTGCTCTGGCTAGAACTTTCAGTACTATGTTGAATAGAAATGGTGAAAGTGGGTATCCTTGTCTTGTTCCAGTTCTCAGAGAGAATGCTTTCAACTTTTGCCCGTTCAGTACAATATTTACTGTGGGTTTGTGGTAGATGGCTTTTATTACCTTAAGGCATGTCCCCTCTATGCTAATTTTGCTGAGGGTTTTAATCATAAAGGAATGCTAGATTTGTCAAATGCTTTTTCTGTGTCTACTGAGATGATCATGTGATTTTTGTTTTTAATTCTGTTTATGTGCTGTATCACATTTATTGACTTACACATGTTAAACCATCCCTGCAGCCATGGTATGAAACACATTTGATCACGGCGGATTAACTTTTTGATATACTGTTGGATTTGGTTAGCTAGTATTTTGTTGAGGATTTTTGCATCAATTTTAATCAGGGATACTGGTCTGTAGTTTTCTTTTTTTGTTATGTCCTTCCCTGGTTTTGGTATTAGGGTGATACTGGCTTCACAGAATGATTTAGGGAGGATTCCCTCTTTCTCTATATTTTGGAACAGCTCAATAGGATTGGTAACAATTCTTCTTTGAATGTCTGATAGAATTCAGCTGTGGATCCATCTAATGCTGAACTTTTTTTGTTGGTAATTTTTTTTATTACCATTTTAATCTCACTGCATGTTATTGGCCTGTTCAGAGATTTTATATCTTCCTGGTTTAATCTAGGAAGGGTGTATATTTTCAGGAATTTATCTATCTTCTCTAAGTTTTCTAGTTTATGCACCTAATGGTGTTCATAGTAGCCTTGAATAATCTTTTCTATTTCTGTGTTACCAGTAGCAATATCTACCGTTTTGTTTCTAATTGAGCTTATTTGAATCTTCTCTCTTCTTTTCTTGGTTAATCTCACTAACGGCCTATCAATTTTGTTTGTCTTTTCAAAGAACCAGCATTTCATTTCATTTATCTTTTCTATTTTTTGATTGTTTGTTTTATTCAATTTCATTTAGTCCTGATCTGATCTTCCTTACTTCTTTTCTTCTTTTGGGTCTAGGTTTGGATTGTTCTTGTTCTCCAGTTCTGTGAGGTGTGACCTCAGATTGTTTATTTGTACTCTTTCAGACTTTTTGATGTAGGCATTTAATGTTACAAACTTTTCTCTTAGCACCGATTTTGCTATATTCCAGAGGTTTTGATAGGTTGTATCACTATTATAGTCAAGTACAAAGAATTTTTAAATTTCCATCTTGATTTCATTGTTTACTCAGTGATCATTCAAGAGGAGGTTAATTTCCATGTATGTGCATAGTTTTGAGGGTTACTTTTGGAGTTGATTTCCAATTTTATTCCACCATGGTCTAAGAGAGTACTTGATATAATTTATATTTTCTTAAATTTACTGATACTTGTTTTTTTTCCTATCATATGATCTATCTTAAAGTTGAAACCATTCCCTTGTCTGCATTATAGTGGCCAGAGCAAGATTTCCTAGGCAGCGGAGGGACATAAAATCTTTATTAGTGACAACAGCAGTGGAGTATGGAGAGAAGAAGGACATGTTTGAAGTCAAAGGAATCTGTTACAATGGAAAAACTATCTGTAAAAGAGATAGGGAAGAATTATACCAGAAATAGTTGTATGAAGAAAGAAAATGTTCTTTCTCCAGCAATACCAGTTGAAAGGGAAATCATAAGTTAGCATGGCAGTTTGTAAATGACTTTATTTTATGAAAAACTACTATGAGTTTGAAACATTCTACGTACATATGTGGATGGGAGAGATTATCCCTCTGATTATTATTTAGAAAAAGCATACACTCCTAGAAATATCTTAATTATAAGGTGATCACTCTTAAAATGAAAGTATAGTGTGATATTTAAATAGCAGATACTACTTGGGGTCATGTATATCAATCAATCATAAACTCATATATTTGGCTGGGTGCCGTGGCTCACATCGGTAATCCCAACACTTTGAGAGGCCAAGGCAGGAGGATCACTTGAGCCCAGGAGCTCTAGACCAGCCTGGGCAACATGGTGAAACCCTATCTCTACAAAAAATTAAAAATTTAGCTGAGTGTGGTGGCACACAGCTCACCTTGTCAGGCTGAGGTGGGAGGATTGCTTGATCCCAGGAGGTTGAGGCTGCAGTGAGCCATGATTGTACCACTGCACTCCAGTCTGGGCAACAAATAATCTGGATATCACTGTGAAAGTGTGTATTGACACCTTTGGAGAACATTTTGGTTGTGTGTACCATATCTTTGTCCCAGCAAGTCTACTTCTAGAAACTTTCTGCACTTATAGCCATAATGGCACTACCATTGAAGATGCACACCTTTACCAATGGTATTGACAAGACAGCATATCCATGGTTTCATTCGATTTTTATCTGGTTATTAACACAGTTTTTTATTTACATTTCAGTGTGTTTTGTATGTGTGTTTTCCATTTTCCCTTTATGCCATTTGAGCATATTTTATATTCAGGTAATAGATATGAGAACTTAAAAGTAAAAAATAGCTTCATTTTCAGAGCACCATAAATAAAATTGCTACATATGTGACAAACTGGACAGGATTTACTATAAACAGGGCAGTCAGGGAAGTCTTACAAATAATTTGCCTTTCTGTTAGGAAGACTTCAGCACTCTAAGATCCCATAAACATTCTCTTACATTTTCTTCCACTACCTTAAGCTATTTATTTATTTATTTATTTATTTATTTTTGGTCTTGTTTATTCAATTGTTTTTATCCAAACAAAACATGTACATGAATTTAAAAAGTCAATATCACAAGGTTTATTAAAACAGCAGATCCATGCCCTGTGTTTCCCAACTCATAGCTGTACTGCTCAACTAACTGTTTTGCTAGATAATATTTCTTTTATTTTTGTATTGTTCACATTTAGGTGTTATCTATTGTCTTTCTGTCCTGAGGGATGAAGAATAACCTCTTGCTCCAAAATCTTCCCTCCTCAACAACCTCACATATGTACTCTACTGCCTCTCTCACCTTTTGAAAACTGTTAAAAGATAATTTTTTGTTAAAACAATATTTATTGCATATATCACTAGGATCATATTAACAGGATTTGCAGCTGATTGATTCTCATATTCTCTAAGAGTCCTCCCACTCTGTGCCACTTTTGATGTTCTCACCACATTTTTTTGTTATTATTCTTATTTGCTTAAGTTTCTGTGGACTTGTCTACAAAAAGAAAGGTGTTCTGAAGATACTGTGGCCAACAGGGAACACATGTGCCTTCCATGCTATTACTGTTAAGATTGATTTGGAGATGTTTTGTGTGCTTCAAAGGTTGACAATTTACCCAAATGATCTTTGCTCTACATATTCTCCCAGTTCACCCTAGTTTGGTTTCTAGGCCCATGGGATAAGCCAAAGGATTATTCTAGAACCCAAAAGAATGATAAATGAAAATTCTTTACCTCTGTTATTTTTGACAGAATTTCTCCAGAAACACCAAGAGTCAAAAATTATAATATGAACTTCATCCAGTTGTAATTTCAATTTTCCTTGGTTAGTGGAATTTCAGCTGATCTAAAATATTTATTTTCTAATGTTTAACATGATGAGCATTTGCCACCTTGTAATAAAAATCAAGGCATGAAAAATAAAATAAAAATGCTATAATTTCTATTTTTTCTCATCCAGAACTAAGTTCCTAAAGTGGAATAGTTGCATTAAAAATGTACCAAACCATTTTTATGGAGAGAAACAAAAAGGCAAACTGGCAGAAACTGCTGGCACCCTCCCTCAAAACTCAATTCTGGAAATAAGACCAGAAGGATACGGTTACTGATTGTCACAGACCCAGTCTCAAAAAACAAACTGAAAAACTGTGACAAAATCTTTTCAGAGGCAGAGATGATTGGGAGAGATCTTGGGTTGTGTTGTTTCTCCCTCTCTCACATTGCCCTGGGGGGGAGCAAATTCTGCCTTGCTGTTGTCATGGCATAGGAATGTACCTGAGCCAGGAAAAGCAGGAGAGCTGAAGCTGCCAGTTGGCTGAGGTAGGGATATAACAGCTATGCTAAAGGTGGGCAGCTAGCCCCAACTCATTACTTGCTCCCACCTCTTCTCACCCCACCTTAACTGCCTCCGTAGGAGAGAAGAGATTAGGGCAGAGGTACTGAGAGATTCCCTAGGGAAAAGGGCAGAGAACAATTGAGCCCTGATAGCAACACCAGAGGGTCTCCACCCTGAGGCATGCTCCCCACCCTTTGAATCTCCTTGAACACAAGCAAGGGTCTATTGTCTTAACTCTTCCTCCAGTTAGCTATTAGTAGACATGATATCTGATAGCAGCAAGGAAATGAAAAATGGAATATTTAAGGTATATGAGAATGCCAAACAGAATAAAAGAAATGATGGCACAATCGCTACCAGAGGAAAGCAGTACTAATGAAATAAAAAGATGATAAGAATTGAAAGTAAACACAATAAAATAGTTTTGGCATAATAAACAAGGACACTGAAAACATGAAAAAGAAACCAATGTATTTTGTAGAAGAACCACTTGGATATTTGGGGTATGAAAATATAATTGCTGAAATTAAAATGTCAGTGGGTAAAAGAAATAACAAAACAGAAACTGCTGATCAAAATAGTTTCCCAGAAGGCATAAAGAAGGGATAAAAAAGATCAAGAAGAAAACATAAGAGAAGATAAGTGACATAGATGATCTAAGTAGTTGATATTTATAATAAATGCACCAGAAAATAATCTGAAAAGATTAAAGAAGCTTGTTGAGTTTTAAACATGGTAAGTAACAGTGAAAAAATTAACTAGGTATTTATTCTAAAATTTCAGGTAACCAAAAAGAGAGGTTTTCCAAAAGAAAAAAGTGAATCCTCTCCAAAAAAATAAGAATCATCAGATTTCTCAATAGTGAAGCAGAAGGAAAAAGACAATAAAGCAATATTTTCAAAAAAAAATGACCCTGAAATTACAAATCCAAGTAAGTCAGTATTTAAATCTAAGGGCTAAATAAGAATAATTTTAGTCATCTAAGGTTTTTAGAATGTTTACCACACATAGGATCTCTTTGAAGAAACTCTTGGAGAAAATTACTTCAACAAGAATAGGAATTAGTCCAGGAGAAAACAAGAAGATAAGGAAGAAAAGGTGAACAACTTTTATGAAGATTACTATTAATATTGTCTAAACCAGGAGGGTTGACAAACTTTTTCTGTAAAGGACCAAGTAAGAAATAATCTATAACTTATGGTTTGTATGGTCAATCTAAACTATGCAAATCCACCATTGTAGCATGAAAGCAGTCTTAGACTAAAGTAAATGAATGAGAATGAGCATGCTGTCCATCAATAAACTTGATTTACAAAAACAGGTGATGAACTAGAAATCCCAGTATGCTATGTTATGAATATCGAACAACTAAATCTAAAGTAAACAACTGCCTAATCCAAAATCATGAAGATTGACTCCTATGTTTTTTTTCATTTAAAACTATAAAAACCATTTTTATAGTTTTAGCTCTTGTATTTATGGCTAAGGTCTATTTTGAATTAATTTTTGTATTTATGGCTAAGGTCTATTTTGAATTAATGTTTGTACATGATGTGGGATATTCATCCAACTTCATTATTTTACAGGTAAATATCCAGTTGTTTTAGCACCCTTTGCTGAAAAGACTATTCCTCCCTCATTGAGTTGTCTTGGCACGTAGACAAAAGAAAATTTAAGGCACAAAATTCTTATGTGGTTTTAAAATGAAGGAAAGCATCTCATTCTGATAAAAAGAAAAAGAGATCATGAAGCTATAGTAATCAGAAATATACATGAACCTAATACACTAGCCTCAAAATACAGAACAAGACAATTTATAAAAATATGGAGAGAGAATAAAAAATTGTAGTTGGATATTTTAATGCAACCCTATCAAGATCTGATATATCAACAAGACTTTAAAAAAGCAAAAAAGGGATTTTTACAGTGAAATACAATTTATCTAAGAGTTAACTTTAGAAATGCTACAGTCAACACAAGCAGAATGCACATCATTTTGGAGAATATCATGAACATTTCAAAACAAATCAGCTATTGGCCCACAAAAAAATTATAATCAATAATAAGTAATACAGAATAGTAACAGAAATCAATAATAAAACAGTTGGCTTTCACTAATCATAAACAGATGACTTTCAAATCCCTTGTTTCTATAAGCCACTAACTACAAAACTCCTAGATTAAAGCAGAAACTATAAAGAAAATTATTAAGTGCTAAAAGGTAAATCACAATGACAAAATAATATGCAAAAATTTCTGGGATGTAGCTAAACCAGACTGTAGGGGGAAATTTACAACTGTAAACATATTTATTTATCAGAAATTAGGAGATAAATGGAAACAAATGTATTAAGTACCTAAATTCAAAATTTAGACAAAGAGCAACAGAGTAAATCCAAATAAACAAATTAATAAGATAGCAAAGAAAAGGAGAAAAAAAATAAACAAACCACAATAAATAGCAATGGACATGATTAATCAAACCTAAAGCTACACCTTTGAAAATAATAATCAAACAAGCCTCACCCAAAAGAGAACTAAGAAAATTAAGTAAAAACTCTAAAGGAGATTACAGATGAGTCTTTTATAAATTATGAATGAAGAGTATAGTGAGCTATTCTGGAGTTTCTTGGGTTCATAATCTGGTTATACTATTTACAGTTTCCTCATCTATAAAATAGAAATAACAGTCTCTATTTCTAACACTAGTTTCTTTACAGAGTTGTCATGAGTATTAAATAAATGTATCCATTCAAAGAGCTTAGAACAGTGTGAGGTACATAATAAGTAAGTGCTTTATATAAGTGCTAGATGTTACCATAGCAAAAGAATCTTCAGTGGTGAAAGAAAAATAAAATGAGATTTAGAGCCCAATACCATTTCATAATTAATTGTATTCTCCATACCTTCAGAAAAATATGTGTACCCTCTAACCACCATCAAAGCAAAAACATATTCTACTTTTCTGGTTGTACCCGTATTGTGAAAATTAAAGAGATGATGTTTTGAAAGAATTCTAAGCTGAGACTGACTTCCTGTTCATCAAACCCATTTCCCAGACTGCCTTGCAGTTAGCTGTGGCCATGGACCAGAGTTTTGGCTGGTGATACAGGAAGGAATGATGTAACCTGTTCTAAGCCTGGCTCCTAAAAATCTACACAAGTCTCCACTTTCTCTGTTCTTTCTGGGTAACCTTGGAAAGCATGCATTGATGCAGATCTCCCTTGGTCTAAGTTCCTGGATGACTGTGTGAAACAGCCCCTCCCCAGTGCTTCAAAATGCATATGTATGTATTTGCATATGCATGTATGCACACACACAAACACACACACATGCACGCATATACACACTGAACTTTAAATGAACAAAAAATAAATTTCAGCTTTGTTAGCCACCAAGGTTTCAGGTTTATTTGAAACAATAGATAGCAGTTCCCTAACTAGTACAGTTATTCTAGATAAGAAAGTTGACAGAGAGGTTAATGTACTTGGAAACTTGGAAATGAAAGGGTGGTGGGTGAAGAAGAAAACAGAAGATATAGTAAACTAAGAGGGGGCCATGGATGGACTTATAATAAGTGGGCAACCCATTTTTGCAAACTTGAGATTCAAATATAGTTTAAATAGTTAACCAACGATTGGGAAATCACAGTCTGTTAGTCAATCATTTCATCTGTATGTTATTTCAAAAAGTATTTGCTAATTGCCTGTAAGTTGTTAGGGCATGGGATAGGTACCAGGGATATATCGAGAATTAGGAGGTGGTTTCTTACCTCAGGGTGTTTATGGATTGTTGGGAGAAAGGTGGGTTTCTTTATCATTCTGTCATCAAAGATAGCTGCTTTCTACCTAGACTTTCTGGGAACAAGGAAGGATTAAATGAGGAATTTTAATAATTTCACATTTTATTAAGCCTATTTTCTTTTTGTTTGTTTTGTTTTGTCTTTACCTGATAAACTACTAAGATTTAAAATGAATTGGCCTACATTTTTGCCAATTTTTTACCTCTAACTTCCCAAAAAATTCTAAGATCAGTAAAATTGATTAAAGTTATTAAACAAGTAGGGAGGAAAAGACACATTTAAGAGCCTGGATAAAACAGTGATGGGAAAATCCACACACGATTGACTTACTTAACTGTATTTAATTAGGAAAAATCTCTAGAATTTAGAGGAAACTGGAATTTTCATCTGAGAAGCTCCAGGTTGTTTACAGTTCAACTTGCCTCAGTTTGCCTCACTGAGCCACTGAGCCACTGAGCCATGCTGGTATAAAAGGAGCGAAGGCAAAGAAAAACAAGGACCTCACCTAAGGGAGAGATGGGACAGAAGATCCAGCCACCTGCCTGAGCAAGAGGAGCTGTTTGCTGTGGGACTCTGAGCAAAGAGTAGTGACTTACCAATGACCTTTCCTCTTCACGCTTCCTGGGACTGTCTCCCCTTTTCCATACTGTGGAACTGTCCCTTCCACATAAATCCAAACATGGATCACCATTTTTGCGCCTCCAAAATGGGCCAGAAGACACATCCCTGACCACATCATAACCCAGAAAGCCAGATGCTGATGACACACTTCGCAGCCGAGATCTCATTGCCTTGGTATCTGGGACCACAACTAAGTACTTTCCAACTGTATTGTTACCTCATTATTATTCAAATTTCATCTGTATTGGCACGTTAATTAAGTAAAGATTTGGAAAAGAATTGTGCATATGCTTCAAATCTAGAAAAAGTTTTGATGGCTGTATTCTCAATGGAAAAGTGATGTTTTAGAAAGAGGGATGACATTTTATAACATTAGATGGCATTTTCCTGGGGACAGGGGAACAGGAACATATGAATCCTGCCTTAATCTCACAGCTTTTTCCTGTAATGTCCCCATAAAAACAAGGGACCACAGCAAATGAGAAATTAAAGTCCGCTTCATTATTAGCCTGGCTAATGCCAAATAAACAAATGCAGAACTTTCTGGTAATTTGCCTAGGACACATGGCATACTCTCAGATCACAGTCCAGACCACCAAACTCTAAATTAAATATCTTATCTTAGAATCTTAGCATCCTTGGGCTGCTCACATGGAACAGGAGACAGAAGTAATAAATAAGGAAAGTATTGCATGGAAAAAGAAATAAAATTAACCTGGAGAAATTTCAGAGACAGGGTCTTTTATTAAAACAAGACAACAAACAAATGAAATGTACTCTACCATAAAAAACAGCTCTTCTATAAAAAGTTATCTGTCATCAGGCAGACAGATCTTCTGAACCTAATGTCTAAGTGATAGATAGAGAGGGAGTGTGTGTTCCAGCATAAAACCCTGAGTACAAGAAGAAAAGAAGAGATGGCTAAACTAAGGCCCTGTCACCAATCTAGCCATAAGATTAAAGGAGAAAGTAAATTTTAGCCTATGATGAACTTCCCACTAGTGAATATGGACCACCCCAGCAGCAGAGAATCCAACATAGTTTAGTACCTCAGTTTCTTAGGAAAAAGTGAAGAACAGGGCAAGAGGGTGAAGAAACTGTTTCCCCAACCCCGTACAAGTCAAAGATTGGTTAAAAGAGAAAGAAAGGCTTTTATTTATTTTGAGGTTGTTGTTTTATTGTCGTCATTAATACTAGAGTTGTGAGTCCCTTGCACCTTGGAGGGGAATTTATACGGGAACTCCTGCAACCATCACATGTACATCTTTTTTTAGAGTAAGATATTGCAAGAAGCCCACAGGTCCCAGCCCATACATTGAATGGTTCAAGTTAAAAAAATAATAATAATACTAACCCTTGTTAACCTTTGCCTAGCAATCCTGACCCTCCCAGGGTGTGAGAATCCAAGCAAGAATCACAGTGACAGCTATGCAGGTATCAAAAAGGAGCCTCAGAAAGATTAATTTGACCAAGATCTCTGTATTAGTCTGTTCTCACGCTGCTACGAAGAAATACCCGACACTGGGTAATTTATAAAGGAAAGAGGTTTAATTGACTCACAGTTCTGCAGGGGTGGGGAGGCCTCAGAAAACTTACAATCATGGCAGAAGGTGCCCTTTCACAGGGCAGCAGGAGAGAGAATGAGTGCCGAGCGAAGGGGGATGCCTCTTATAAACCCATCAGATCTCATGAGACCCACTCATTATCGTGAGAACGGCATGATGGAAACTGCCCCCATGATTCAATTATCTGCATCTGGTCCTGCCCTTGGCACGCGGGGATTATTATATTTCAAGGTGAGATTTGGGTGGGGACACAGAGCCAAATCATATCTATCTCATAGCTAATAAATGTGATCTTGGGCTAAGTCCAGAGTCTATGCTACAGTCATTAAAAAAAAAAAAAAAAAATCTGAGATTCTCATACCAGAATTGTACAATTAATTACAACAGGTTTTGGAAATCACTTGATTTTTTTTGTCTCATTAGCCATTGCAATTTGGCCTGCATAAAAATATTCAAAGTAGACACTGAATTACTCTATGTTTTCTGTATACAAACGGAGCCAAGCAAGCATTGTTCACCATGTTCTTTGTAGCATTCTCTAAATAATTTTTCTTTCAATATTATTTTTGATTGACAAACCATGATTGTATACATTTGTGAGGTACAACATGATGTTTTGATTTATGTATACAATATAGAATGATTAAATCAAGCAATTTAACGTATCTATCACTTCACTTACCTGTCACGTTTTATTAAGACATTTAAAATGTACTCTGTGGCCAGGTGCTGTGGCTCACGCTTATAATCCCAGCACCTCGGGAGGCAGTACTGGAAGGATTGTTTGAGCCACTGTAGTTTGAGACCAGCCTGGGCAACATAGTGAGACCCCATCGCTACAAAGAAAAGTAAAAATAATTAGTCGGGTTTGGTGGTGTGCGCCTGTAGTTCCAGCTACTCAGGAGACTGAGGCAGGAGGATTGCTTGAGGATGGTAGGGCAAAGCTGCAGTGAGCCATGATTGTGCCACTGCACTCCAGCCTGGGCGACAGAGCAAAACACTGTCTCAAAAAAAAAAATTACTCTCACATTTATTTTGAAATATAGGAGACCACGGTCTAAAAGTTTTCTTATAATTGTCAAGATCAGGAGCTTCTTCACAGTGAGACATTCTTCTGCCTTCTAAAGAAAACATTCTTTCTTATGAAAATTTATAATCACCTTAATCATATGCTTGATCACCCCAAGTAGCTAGATACCTGAGTTAAAACAACTATTGAGTTGAAACAATTGTAGGGATATGTACTTACATTTTGTATTAAATATATTATGTATTTATTATAACTGATCTCATTAACAGGTTCCAGAAAATGAGGGTTTCCTTAGTTATGCATAAATGTATATAAATGTGCTTTCTAGCTTTTATGTTATTTTACACTCTAAATGTGTGTGTGTGTGTGTGTGTGTGTGTGTGTGTGTGTAAGTGCATACATCTAGATCCATGTTTATAGAAGCACATACTCTATGTGCCACTGGGCACTGGCAAAAACGATTGGTCAACATCTTAAAGTATCCCTTGTGGTTTAGGACTGAACTCTCCTCTATTTCCTCTCCACAAAGGAAAATGATCCTTAATCTATAGGGAAGGGAGGGAGGGCAGAAGCACAATAAGCACTGTTATCCTTGGACCACAATATTTTATGTTAAATGAGCACAAAATCTCACAAGACACTGAGAAAGGCCAGTGGGAGCAGGTCTGCGTAGAATCACAGCTTCACAGTAAAACAGCGGGGAGAACTCTCTTTCTTTCCATCCCCATCAGTACCTTTCTTGTGATACTTGTGATACTTGTGCTACCATGTAATGTTGTCATTTTGTTAATTTAGAAAATGTTATTCATTTTCCCCCTTCCTGTTCCATCCTAGGATACTGTGCCTGTACGTATCCACCTTTCCATTTCCTTTGCAGCACTAACCACATTCCCTAATGTTTTCCCTTTGTTTCCTTGTGCTTTTTCTTCTCCCACTAGAACATAAGTCTCACAAGAACGGAGGTTTGTCTCTCTTGTTCCTTGTTGTCAGCATCTAATATATATTTGCTGAATGACGGAATGAATGTTAAATATGTGGTTGATTATGTGTCTTGCCACGTCTGTTCCACAGAGATCTAAGAGATACTCACTGGTGAACAGGGAGAAGGATTTCTCCTGGGGGTAACAACTTTAGGGCCACCTTAGAACTGAACCAAGGAAGGACATCCATACAGAACCAGAGAGGAGTCTGGCTTTGACTCTGAGGTGTGCCATCAAGACAAGATTGGGGTTTGAATACCTGCATTATTTTGTAAGTTGAACTACTCTTTCCCCTAGACTTTTGGCAAGTATTGTTAAAATCTTAGTCTGCTATCAGTGGAGCTGGGAGAGCCAAAGAAAGGAGCATTCACTTTCTGAGCCTGGAGGGAAGAGGGAATTCCAGGTGGACATGCATGGAGATGACAGTGCCAGCAGAATAACACTCTCAACAGCTGTTATTAAGGAAGGACACTAAGAACATACCAGCGCAGAGAAGGGTCAGAGCAGAGGCAAGGGGATTGTTGAAGAAAAGGTGAAAGTCTGAGAAATGCCTGCAGATATTTTGAGGGGAGAGAGCACTTCCAGCAGATGGCCAGACAGGGTTCATGCTTTAACATGGATATTGAAACAATGCCTTGTTTTGTAGCTATGTTTTATAAGGCTGATGCCTTATGACTTATGAACACATCTGTTTAAAACCCTCTACAGTCTCCTCAGTGTTAATATTGGTGACTAAACTTTTAGGGAAAAAAGTGGATAATCATTCCTTCTCTTTTGAGGCACACACCTTAAAATTCTATGCCATGTATTTCCTCGGATAGCTATATTAAAATAAATATGTGTGTGTATTAAAAATTATATATATATGTATATATTTCTTTTCAGTCAAAAAAGAACTTATTTTGATCCCTGATGAAACACTTATTTGAACTCTACAGTACTCATCCATCTAAAACCCTTTCAGGTTCATCATCACAAAATCAATTTTCCTTTGAATAGTATCAAATAGCCATGTACTGGCCTAACATAGACAGCCATGGTCTGTACAGTCACCTTATGCTGCGCAGAACCATCCAGGGCCCCATGCTTCTTGGCTCCTGGATGCTTATTTCCCATCTGTCTTGAATTCTCTCCCCATCAGCAAGGCTGTTTCAAAGCTGAGTCCACAGTCTGATGCTGTATTAGTTGTCTGGGTCTGAGTGCCACAAACTGGGAAGCTTAAGAGAAATTCACTTTCTTAAACTGCTGGAGGCTATAAATCTGAAATCAAGGTGTCGGCAGTGTTGGTTTCCTCTGAGGGCCATGAGGAAGGGTCTGTTCTGTGCCTCTTTCCTGGCTTCTGGTGGTTGCTGGCAAACTTTGGCGTTCCTTGGTTTGTAGAAGTATCACCATAATTTCTGCCTTCATTTTCACATGGCATTCTCCCTGTGTGGGTGTGTCTCTGTGTCCAGATTTTTCCTTTTCTTAGGACACATTCATACTGGATTAGGGCTCACCCTAATGATCTCATCTTAACTTGATCTCTGCAAAGACCCTGTTTCCAAATGAGGTCACATTTACAGGTTCTGGCGGTTAGAACTATAATCTTTTAAGGAGATTTGGTGCAACTCAAAACAGGTGGGATGAGGGAGGTGCGTACTGAAGATACATCTAACTAACTCTTCCCACCCCCTTCATTATGATTTCCCACGTTAACTTTTCATGCTACTGGTTATGTCTGAAACCTCCTGTTTTCTTTTCAAACCTCATCTCTCCTACTTGAAAACACAGAATTTTAACCCTATTGATAAAACACCCCAGATTATTTTAGTTTGATTTCCTTCTGAAGAAAGAAATCAATCTTCTCTTTCCAAAGAATCTACGATTTGAAATTCTGGGTGATTTTGTCTTTTCCAAAATGTTTGAAAGAAAGGCAGTATTCTGGTGCAGACAAAAGGAAGAGGTAGAAAGTTATTTTGTTTTCCATGCTGCTGTTTTGTTGTTCCTTTTGCCCATTATTCCCATTCTTAAAAACCTACAATCAATTATCATATTCACTTTCTACCACTGTCCATTGTAAATCATTCTCGAAGCACACTAAGTTACTAAGCAATTCTCCAACCAGAGCATGTTTTTTGTTTCCTTTTCACATGCCATTTCCTCTGTCTGGAATAACCATACCTCCCTTGTTCATCTGGAAAACTCCTACCCAACCTCCAAAATCTCAATTAAGTGCCATCTTTCCCAAATTCCTCAGAGATTTGAACTCTCTCCACCTTCACCCTTTTCAATAATTTATACAAGCTTCTATCATCACAGCTTCACCATTTTTTGCTGTGATTGTTTTGACCCTTCTGGGCCCTGGCCAGCATTTAATACAAGTTTGAGAGACACTTACAGAAAAGGAATATGCAAGTCATGGAGGAGCACTTTACAGCTCTTCATTGCCCTTGTGTGCAAAAGAAGTACACGTTCTCTGCATTTGCCACTGATCATACAGTCTTTCTATGAGGGAGTTCAAAGAACAGAGAAAGACATTGCAGTTTCGTAAAATAAACACTGAAGGTTCACAAGAGCCAAATCTTTGGATTGGGTATATATTCAGAGAGGAGTTTGAGGAAAAACTGTTGATTGAGGACACTAGCTAACCTCAGAAGAATCTGGCCTTTTGTTCACGTTCACCAACCTCGAAGCTGCAATTCAAGAGTCAACACCCAAGCAAGACTGCCTTGGATAAGAAATGCAGTTAGAGGCCAGGCACAGTGGCTCACATCTGTAATCCCAGCATTTTGGGAGGCCAAGGTGGTTGGATCACATGAGGTCAGGAGTTCGAGACCAGCTTGGCCAACCCCATCTCTACTAAAAATATAAAAATTAGCCGGATGTGGTGGCACATGCCTGTAGTCCCAGCTACTTGGGAGGCTAAGGCAGGGGAATCCCTTGAACCTGGGAGGCAGAGGTTGTATTGAGCCAAAATTGCACCACTGCACTCCAGCCTGGGTGACAGAGCAAGACTCCATCTCAAAAGAAAAAGAAACAAACAAAAAATGCAATTAGAAAAGCAAAGAACCAGGCTCTTTTATCCATTTGGCTTTGGCCCTTCAATATTTTTTGGTAGTGAAAGCCCAAGCTGATCCATAGTTTGAGTTTTTTTTTTTTTTTTGAGACGGAGTCTCGCTCGCTCTGTTGCCCAGGCTGGAGTGCAGTGGTGCAATCTCGGCTCACTGCAAGCTCCGCCTCCCAGGTTCACGCCATTCTCCTGCCTCAGCCTCCCGAGTAGCTGGGACTACAGGTGCCTGCCACCACGCCTGGCTGATTTTTTGTAATTTTAGTAGAGACGGGGTTTCACCTTGTTAGCCAGGATGGTCTCGATCTCCTGACCTCGTGATCCACCTGCCTCAACCTCTCAAAGTGCTGGGATTACAAACATGAGCCACTGCACCTGGCCCATAGTTTGAGTTCTGAAGGGAAATTTGAGTCAGTGTTACCCATTCACCAAGCAGAGGGTCACCTGGAATGGCTGGATAAGGGCTTTGTACACTCATCATTCCTAGTCTCGGTAGGTGCTGCCTCTTGCCTCAAACATTGACGTCTAAACAATCAGCAACTTCTACCAGTACGACTTTAATAAACTCCTCAACATTCTAAATGTAGCATCTGAAACTCCATAAACAGGAGTGAACTAGTAGCAGTCTGAAGTTGTCATCATTGACAGCTTATGATTTATCTTAACTCTCCCTAGCCATTTGGCCATGACTTTAAGTAAACACTTTCCGTCTTCCTCATGTTCTCGTTACTGCCACCTCCCACTAATAAGAAAGACTGCCAAGAAAAGCATCCAGACAGTTCATTTACCTCCCAAACTTGCCTGAAAGTAGCCGCCCCAGTTTAGACAAGGGGCAAAGCAACTACTGCACATTTTCAACAGATGGAACAATGCTTCCCAAATTATTTACATTAACATTATTTGCTTTCAGGATGTGTGTGTAATGAATTGGTAGTTGAATAAAATATTATGGTGCAGGCTGAGGCACCAGCAGTTCAGGCAGGCCATTTATGGTGATAGATGGTGATAGGCGGTTTTGCTTTCTAAGAAGCTGGGGAGCTTTAGGCAATCTCTCTTTGCTAAGTTCTTGGCACCATTTTGTTCTATCGGGTTCCAGAAGCTTGGTCTAAATGTACAGGGAGGTTTCCTATTTTAACCATGGTGGCCAGAGAACACCAAGCCTGTTCTCTACTCACCCATCAACAAATGGTCAAGAGAGTTGGGTTGCTCTGTTATGCAGATGGCCACAGAGTGATAGGTGTTTCCTGCATTTTCTGTGAGTGTCATGAAACCATGTCTAACAGAAGATGGGAGACTTTCCCTCATTAATCTGATGGAGCCCACATGTGATTCGACCTTCCTGAAATTTTAATGGCCTGTCCACACCAAGCCCAAGGTACTGTTACACACCATGGAATGTGGGTCACTAGGAGGACCATATGCTTAGTTGTATTACTTTTATATCTTCTAAACTAAACCAAGAGTCAAATGCTCACTGAAGATGACTGAGCACAGTATGTGAAAAGAGTAAGGAGAGCCCTGCTATTTCTGCAGGTGCCCATGCACTAAATACACAGCCCTGGGGCTTACAGCAGTTGTATTAGAGTTGGAAATATGCCATGTTGAACACCCTCAATGCCAGGGTCAATCTTGTGGCAGTGGTTCCTGGGTTCTATCTGGGGCCTTACTTTTAATCTATAAGAGTTGTCAGGCTAAAGTGGCAGTTCTCTAGGTGGGATGCCTTAAGTGATCATGCATTTATTAAGTATTCACTGAGTACATTTGGGATCCAAGGTTCTGTGTCTGGTTCCACAAGGGACACTTTGAGTGCCTCTCCGGAAACTCCCTGTGTAACAGATGTAAAATTCCATTCAATATCTAAGAGGTAGACCTCAAGGGAATTTCTCAAGTTTTTTTGGAGTGGTGAATAAAGTGAACATAGGCTCTTGCCTGTTCTTGGTGTTTATCAGAGAACAACAGAGGGTGCACCAGGGGTGGGGCTGTTATTGCTCTGGTAATGAATTTATCATTATTGGATTGGGTGCTAAGCAGACAGATGAGACACCACAGGCTGTGCAAGCCAAGTTGATTAGGGGGCCTACAGAGTAACTTGAGATACAGAAAGCGGTCCCAAGCCCTTTCTCCAGATGTGTCATCAGAGTACTATCTGGTGTTATTTGTTCTTTCTCTTTCTCTGTCTCTTTCTCTTTTCTTTCCCTCTTCCTCCCTATTTTTATCCTTCTTCCTTTCTTCAAGGAGTCTTCACAAGTATCTCATTTTATTCTCTAAACTTCCTGTTAATCCTCAGTGACTCCCGTTCTCTGAGTCCTGAATTCCTCATTTGCAGTTGAGGGGCTTTCTCTTAAGTCATATCCACCTTTTTCAGAGCAGGGGCCCGTGATGGCTTAGCCCAAGTGGGAGGCTGCCTGATTCCATCCCACACTGAATCTGAGCAGCATTCTCAGACACCAGCAAGCACCACCAGGTCGGAAGGAGGAGACCCACGAGGGAGCCGGAAGGACCATATGCCAGGATGTCCCATCTTAGTGTTACTAGTCTGTGTGATTTTGCCAGAGGTGGGGAACAACAGCAGCAACAGTAACAACAAAAACATTTCACCCTACTGCTTTGAGGCATTTTTAAAATACCTTGGATTTTGATGTTATGAAAGGAAGAAACAACATTTCTGTATTTATCAAAGGGGGTCAATACTTGGAGAAAAGAATAAATCGTTGCCATGCAACTCTCTTCTCCCCATCCCAACCTGCCCCAGGCTGATGTCTCAGGTAACCTCGACCACAGTGACCGCCATTCCTTGACATCTTGTCCTAGGTCCTGCACAAACATTCCTAGGAGCAGGAGCTCAGTTTTCCTAGGCAAGTGTTTGACCCAGGTGACTATGCATTTCCTAAGTTTAAAGGCTGATTCTTTTCACTCTCCTAAATCTCCCTCAGCCCTCGGCATGAGACTTTACACAAAAGGGAGATTTTTTTTCAACCTCTTTATAGCCGCTGCTTTTTAACCAATCAAATTTTGTGACAAAGGCAATTATACTCTTATTTCCCAGGGAAAATGTGCCCAGACACATAAGCCAACAACACCCACAGGCATTCACGCAAATATATGCATAGATGCCCAGAATGTCCACATAGACAGTCACAGGGAGGTGCACACAAGGATAGTGGGTTTATACATGGACACATGGACCCAGAAACAGATACCTCCCTGGGCTGTGCACACATCATACCCCACCCTTGCTGACATCACTGCCTTTGCTCAGAGCTCCTGGCTCTGCAGTTTGGGCTCAGTTCCTTCAGGCTGGAACCCAGCAGGACCCAGCCTGGGCTGGCTGGGCTGAGCTGTACTGGACAAGATGGGGCAGGGCAGGGCCAGCCAGGGCAAAGCCACAGATGAGCTCAGGTGTCAGACTCCGCCCAAGTGGGAGCTTCCTGAGTCCAGGATGACTCAGGCCCTGCCATACTCGGGTTACTCCAGCTTAACCGCCCTGAAATGGCCTTGCAGCCCCACTGACCACACCGTTCCTCCCCAGCTTTCCAGTGGCCAGATGTGTGGTATACATTTCACCCTAAGCCAAACACAGGGGCTTGCCCAGCCAAAAGGAACTAGAATCTGTGTGCCACTTCAAGACTCCAGAGAAGGGAGCCCTCAGTGTTTCTGCCTTGGCCAAAGGCTCCTAGGAAGCTGCCTCAAGGTTCTTTCAGGACTGGTTCTGGAGCAGGGACCCAACTGCCCAACTAATTTTTGAATTTTTTGCAGGGGCAAGGTTTCACTATGTGCACTTGTGGGTGCACAAGGGATGATTATGCATGGTAGTAACTCTAGCATCCTTTGATGCCTGGGCAAACAGAATGGCTTCCACTTTTATAAGTCCCAGGAACTCTCAGGTGTCCACATTTGGATCCAGGCAGGTTCTTTATCCATGGTGTGAGTGATTTTCATCGTTTCACATCACAAGCACTTAGAGGCCACTTGCCCTGTGGCTGGCTCGGCACTTGCTCAGACCGGGCCTTCTTCCTGGGAAGTTAAGTTTGGCTTGGGGAGTTTGGCAATCAGAAGAGTAAAGCAGCAAAAATAACAAAGGCCTGAACTTCAAACAGAGGGGGAATCAACTCCTGTGTATACCTCCAACTAGCCGTGTGACCAGAAAGTTACCCTAAGGCTCACTTAGCCCCCATTCTGTTCTCAGCTGTAAAGTGGGAAAATCTATTTAATCTATTTAACACAGCTTCTCTGAGAATTGTATGAGTTCTGTATATGATAACAATAGTGATAATGACAGATAGAATGGTTATTTCTTATTGAATGTTAACAATATAAAGAAATTGGACCAAACTTGGCAACATTTATGACTCTCCTCTGAGGTAACTTTTATTTTTATCCTGTTTAACTGTAGCTGCATTGGAATAATTTGTCAATAAAGTATGGGAAGATGAAGACAGAACTCCATGAGGTATTTAAATTTTACCAGAGGCTCTTGAACAGGAAAATGCTTACAGTTCTCAATGAGTGAATCTCAAATGATGAAATTTTATACAACATGATAGGGAGAAAGGAAGACAATTTTTTTAATGAGACAGTATCACTCTGTCACCCAGGCTGGTATGCAGTGGCACGATCATAGCTCACTGAAACTTCAAATTCCTGGACTCCAGTGATCCTCCTTCTTCAGCCTCCCAAGTAGCTAGGACCACAGGTGCATGCTACCATGCCCAACTAATTTTTGAATTTTTTGCAGGGACAAGCTTTCACTATGTTGTCCAGGCTGGTCTCAAACTCTTGGCCTCAAGCAATCCTCCTGCCTCTCCAGAGCATGTGGTTTGCGGGACTTGCCTCAGATACTTCAGGGGCAATCAGAAACTGGTTGAAGCTGAACAGAGTAACCAATCTCACTGGTGCAAGTGACTGGTTCAGAAATGGATCCATCATCCTGCCTGGAAGTCAAATCCCGGGCTTTATATTGTTGTGAAAATAATCTTATCCTTGTTCTGGACTTAAAGTGGGAGTATGTGTATTCAGAAACTACTGATCTTGTAATCATTAAAAGAGAGTCTGACCAAGAAAGAAGCCAGCTTACAGGGTTTTATGTTAGATGGGGGTGAAAGAAACTGAGTCACAGAGACACCAGTTGAACCCATGGTTCAGCCTTGCCTAAAGCTAGACCTACAGTTGGATGTTTCGGTTACATTAAGCAATAAAATTCCTATGTAGATTTGGGCCAGGTTTTATAATTCTTGAAATCCAAAATTTCCAACTGATGCAATTTTTGGAGCCTTTGCATGGACTAAAACTGATCTTGAATTTTCATATAGTATAGCCGAGCTGGATGGATTACAGGATAGATGGGGCCAGGGCAGGAGCAGTGGCTCATGCCTGTAATTCTAGCACATTGGGAGGCTGAGGTGGGAGGACAGCTTGAGCCCAGGAGTTCAAAACTAGCCTGGGCAACAGAGTGAGACCTCACCTTGTTTTATATATATATAAATATATATATGGATAGATGGATGGATGGAAGAATAAATTAAAATGTGAATGAATGAATAATGGAAAGCAGGACTTTTGTTAAACTTTCTATATTGTGTTTTGTTAAACACAATAACAAGTATTGTGTTAGATTCTTTATATGACATTGCCAATGATGTAGACCAAAAACATATCTTGTTTATTCCTCATAGCAATTCTGCAAGACAATTATTGGCATCATTATCAAAGATGAAGAAATTGCAGTTTGAGGAGAGTGAGAGATAAAGTCAAACAACTGATACATAGAAATCAAAGGATTAGTGCAATATCTGTCATATGCCAAAGCCTGTAAGCCTCCTACAGTGCCCCCTGCCTTTTCTGAGCCTCAGCTTTCTTATCCGTAAAATGGCATTGATAATACTTCTTTCCTAATGTTAATTGAACAAAAGAAGGTAGGTGAGTGTGTGTAGTTGTGTGTGTATATTTACCTGTGTGTGTGTGGTACATGTCTCTCTAATTCTTTCCCTGTGTTCCTACCATTATTAAGTGATATAAACTTAGCATTCAAGATAGATGGGTGTTTTCATCCTCGAAAATTTTTTCTTTCATTTTCCTAATATCACATGATTATGTGCACAGTGAAATCTGCATCCAAATTTGAATTCACTCTTCACTCTGCATGCTAACTTTGCACTATTATTCAAGGTTTACTTACCTAGAAAATTAAGGAAAATCTATTTTCCCATAGCTCATACTAACTGAAGCCTCTTCTCAGAAATCTCCCTGGAAGTTTGGGGTTCCTCTATGTGTGACTTGGAGACATCATAACCACTACTGCACTGATGACGCCTCTACCACTTTCACCGCCACCAACAGCAACTCCTTGACCAATACCTTCCTCCTTCACTACTGCCTCCACCAGAACCTCTTCCATCTCCAACACCTCCACCATCACCACCATGATAATCACTGTGATTGTAAAAACATCAGGACCTATAGTAAGCAAGATATTTGACACTTAGAATTCCTACTCCACACTAGAATCCTATCAAGGAGACATTTTATTTTGGCTTGCCTATAGGGAAACAAAGTCTCAGAAAAGTTGAATAATCTCTCTAAAGTCTCACGACTTCTAAGCAGTAGAGCAAGAGGTTGACACCAAGCCCATCTGGACCCAAATACTGTGATGTCTTCACTTTAGTAATCTTTTCCTTTGCCCACACAATCATTTCTGTTCTGAAAGGTCAAGCATCATTTTCCTCTCTAGAATATAGGAGAATTCCTCTTTTAGCCTTTGTCTACTGCAGATATTGTGAAGTAATCTCGTCTGGGAGTGACTATCTTAATTACTGAAATAACAGGAAGTTAATGCCACTACAGATGCTGGGAAGGAAAAGGTTGTAGGGGAGTTGGTAAATGTGGAAGAGTCACATGTCAGATTAAAACAGGTCACAATGATGAGCTCTGACTGCTCTGAAAGGCAACAATGTCCGTCCAGCTAAGGTGGGGGAGAAATAGGGACCTGGCAATGCCACCATCCTTCTGTCAGGATAGGGGTGTAGGGTTGCTGTCACATCGGAAGTGAGGGCAGCCTGAAGGTTGGGGTTAGCATTCAACAAGAGGATTGAAAGGACACTTTAAAATCTAGATAGCGTATCTAAAGGATGCCTGAGGAGAATTCCAGTCTTTTATAGAGGGATAGGGAGATTGAATATGTTTTGCTTTTGAAAGCTTTATATTTGCAACTTTGTAGTTCTTTCTGCCATATATTTGAGGTGAAATGGGTATTAAATTGCAAAAGCAACACAGTCCATGCCTATTTTTTTACACACAAATACTCTTAGAGTAAATTCTGTCTCAGTAAGCACCTAGCACATAGAAGGGTGTTTGGATAATGCCTTTATCCAGTTTATCACTAAACTGGTAGTTCTGGTGAAGTAGAATGTCTTTATCCAGTTGCACAGAACTAGTATCTCCTCTATCCCATTAAAGAGAAAATTGATTTATTAACTGTTGATATTTACACTTGGGGAATTCATCAGGCTACTTGATCAGTAGAACCAGGAATCCTGCATAGATTGCTGTGGTATAAGGAGAAGATACCAATAGGAAATAGGTGAGGGTATAGAGTTGAGTGGTTTTGTTGTGCATGAAATGTTAATGCTTGTTCATCACGAAGAATATCTTATTTCTGAAACCAAGTATGACCACACTCTGTCACTCTCAAGTGTCTAAGGAATATATTTCCACTTTTGTTGTCCCTATAAGAATGTTTTGCTGGGGTCCTGCAAACTTACTGCCAGTCAGAAGGCAGGCTGCAGGCTGGGCATGGTGGCTTTCACCTGTAATCCCAGTACTTTGGGAGGCCGAGGCAGGCGGATCACCTAAGGTCAGGAGTTCGAGACCAGCCTGGTCAACATGGCGAAACTCTGTCTCTACTAAAAATACAAAAATTGGCCAGGCATGGTGGCAGGCACCTGTAATCCCAGCTACTCGGGAGGCTGAGGCAGGAGAACCCAGGAGGTGGAGTTGCAGTGAGCAGAGATCATGCTGCTGCATTCCAGCTTGGGCGACAGAGTGAGACTCTGTCTCAAAAAACAAACAAACAAAAACAAAAAAAAGGCAGTCTGCAAATGCAGATATTGCATATTGTTCTTATATGACTATGCAGAGAAAGGCTCTCAGAAACTCCATTACATAAGAGTAATTGGCTGAGAAATCCAGATTAGCCACCTGATTTTATCTGCTGAGGTGCTGGAAATGATGGGATTTTCATATTTTTTAAAGTCTTCGAAGCATTTTGTGTTTCGTTTCATTTATTAAAGTAAGTAAATAGCCTCATCAGATAGTTTATACATCTCTTTGGATAGGTCATACAAATGTGTTCTACAAGAGCTTACATGTGAGTAAATTTAATGTTTAAAGTGTAAATATATAGATAGGGCTCACAAAGTAGTTTTCATAAAATAGTCCCTAGGGCACTGATAGCTGCTAAGATTGCTGTTTTAGAAGCCTTGCTCTGTTTGTAAATGAGAGACATTGTCTTATGTGAATAGTGAGAATGATACAAAGTCCTGGTTGTGCAAGTGTCTCTATGAAGGGAGCAGCTGGCCCTTCCTACAGAAGTTCCTTCTGTAGCCTGAGTCACACAGTCAGCACTTGTGGCTCTATTGGCTGCCTTTATCTTCTGCATAATGGATATGAAGGTTGCATTCATAGTATTAATGAGTAGTGACTCCAGTGGCCATGGCTGGCACCAAAAATAGCATGTTGATCATTACCTTTGGTCTTAAAGAATGAGTAGCACAGAATGCCTGTGTCCCACCCTATATGAGGCCTTTTCTCCCCTGCAGAGCAAACTGGCATCTTTCTTTGGCTTCTTTCAGAGAACGGGTTTCCAAGCCAGCCATGAGTAGCCTCTGGAGCTTTTTCTGAGCCAGCTCCTGGTGGGGCATTGGGCTGTGGTCTATTCTAAAGAGAGTAGTTGGCATACACAAAGAATGAGTTTATTTGTAAACCACAATCACATAAACGTGAAGGAACACACAATGTCTGCCAGCAATGTCTTTGACCTGTGTGTGGAATACACTAGCAAGCAGTGGAATAAACTAGAACCATTGGTGTCAGAGCTGGAAGGGCCTTCAGCGTCATAAGGGCCAAGTCCACAATGATGACCAAGAATAAGCAACCTCCCCAAGGCCATTCCACCATTAAGTGAAAGATCTGGTCACTTCTAACTCCAGTCCAGGTGGCTTTCTATTGAACCAAAGACCCTCAGTTCCCTGACTTATAAGAGAGAACAATACCTGTCCCGCAGGATGCCCATAATGACTAAGTGGGTTAACATCTATGCAAGTACCTCACACAAAAATAGGCCCCAATTAAATGTTTAATAATATTTTTCTTATCAGATTAAAACCCTGGAGCTTACTTCACTCACCATTGTCCATTTTCACCATGATCAGTGCTGATGCTACACTCTTTCCATCTATGCAAAACCTGTTGTGATGCTGGACACATCACAGGTATGAGTTTCTGCCCCAGGGCTCATTGATGGCACAAAAGTTGAATTAACCCATATAGAAAATGGTCTCTTTAAAAAAATATTTTTATATCAACTTTTCCACTTCCATAATTAAAGTACAGTGGACCACACGGGCAGAACAAGCCCACAGCCCTTTGACTTAAGGTTTGTTTGACTTGTAGAGCCTTCCTCAGTTCAGATATTCAAGGAGTCTCACTCTTCTCAGGAGCATTTTTATGTCCATTGCATTCCCAATTAAAAGAAAACAACTTCGGAACTCAGGAATTTCATTTCAATACCCAAGGAAAGAAATTCTCAATTTCTTTTCCATTAGTGGAATCAATAACTAATAGGAAGATAACCAAAGCTTTATCATGTAGATTTAGTTTATAGGATAGCTCCTAAGGCTTGTAATTACAACTTTGAGAAAACAGTGTATGCTTATTCTGTGTGCTGTGTCCTCATAAGGGTATACAGGTAATTTGAATAATAGCATACCAAGGATGGTGCATAGAAAATGCAGGCAATTTTCCTGAGTCTAGTTTCCTTTGAATAGATTTTAGGCTTGGGTAGACTATTGCCTTTAAGTATAATTTTACTCCAAAGGAGAAAATCTCTGCTGATAACAGGGTATCCCTTGACATAAATCAGCCAAAAAATAATTATCACAGAATCGATGTCACCTAGAAATTATACCCAAACTACCCTTTATGATAATTTATATCATGAGACTTTAAATTTCTTCTATCAGAAAGTCACAAAAACATTGAAAAAGTAAACTCCAAAAACAAAATTTCAGCTGCCTTTTCAAGGAGTTCTATATTCAACTCACTCTGGTAAGTTGACTGTGCTATGGGAAGCAATCTTTAATACATGATATTAAAATAAGAGCTATTGATTAGACAGGCACAAGTGCAAAAGAGAGAGGTTATTAATTTCAAGATATACGAGAACATTTCCTACTGATAAGGAGCAATTTCATCCTTTAGAAACAAAATCCTCCAAAGAAACATAATGTTCAGAAACTCTTTTTTTGTGTGCTTTGAAAGGGGCAGAAGGACATTGCTTTTGAAGTGAAATGCGTGCCACTGTGACAGGAAGAGCACACCATGACAGAAGGCAAAGAGACGAGACTGCCCAAGGTTTTCTAATGATATAACTAAACTAAAAACAAAACAAAGCACACAACCCCCCACCCCCTGCAGTGTGAGCAGAGTTGAATTAACGACATAAAAGACAAAACTGAAAAGCAGCATCATATGGAGAGGAAGAAAAACAGATGTAAATAGTAAGAATGATGACAGATACATAGAAAGAATACTAAAAAGACAATGTATGAATTCCAGTTCATAAAAATAAGGACTAGGAGAACTACCATTTACTTAGTGTCAACAATGTGCCAGTTCCTCTGCTCAGTTTTTTTCTGTTGTTTAAGAACTCAAATGTGAGAAAATTTAGAAGAAGAAGATATTTGAAATACAGACAGCAAGGACCCCTTTAAGAATGTGGTGCCATGCCTTTCGGTCATGTTATTAAGGAGGCATATGATTTGTTAATGCCACCCAGGGCTGGACTCCTTCCATACTTTATCATGAGTAATTTTCAGGACAATGCTGTGAGGTAGGTAGCATTTTTCTCTATTTTATAGATGAAGAAACAAGCTTACAGAAATTAAGAAGAAAATATAGCAAAAAAAAAG
Source organism: Homo sapiens (assembly GCF_000001405.40). Classification (NCBI taxonomy): domain Eukaryota; kingdom Metazoa; phylum Chordata; class Mammalia; order Primates; family Hominidae; genus Homo; species Homo sapiens. Next base: position 19,081,538 of record NC_000002.12, read on the forward strand.
CAATTAGACGTATAGCAAAAAGAAATTTTCCTTGTTTGAAAAAGATATTAAGACAAGACACATTGGTAGCTATTAATAAGGAAAACTCATTAAATGAAATCCTCACCTAGACAAAATTTTTTTTAGAATAAAATATTCTGTAAGTATTGAAAAAAGGTAAATAAACAAAAAATGGCTTTTTTTTTTTTTTTTGCCTGGTAAAGAATTAAGATCATCCTTTTGTAAAACTTACAGGAAATAATGAGAAGGTCTCTGAAGAGGTGGAAGGGAAAGAGTGTAAGCCCCCAAAATATACCTACTCAACTTTTCATTTCTATGCAATGTAAAAAATATATAATTTATCCTACTTAAAGCATCTCAAAGACAGCTTACATATATTAACTTATTTGATCATGGCAACATGTTACTCCTTAAGGAAGAAACTAGTGTTATCTCCATTTTACAAATGAGAAAACTGAAGAAGAGATTAACCCAAGCTCACACAGTTAACAGCAATGTGCATTAAGTGGCATTGATTTCTAGACTTGAAAATTCTAGTGAGTCACTAAAATTTTTAAAAAGACTTAATTGACAGGTTAAACTGTACACTACAAAAAAGAGAGGAATTGGCCGAGTGTGGTGGCTCACTCCTGTAATCCCAGCACTTTGGGAGGCTGAGGCGGGCGGATCACGAGATCAGGAGATCGAGAACATCCTGGCCAACATGGTGAAACCTGTCTCTACTAAAAATACAAAAACTAGCCAGGTATTTTGGTGGACACCGGTAGTCCCAGCTGCTTGGGAGGCTGAAGCAGGAGAATCGCTTGAGCCCAGGAGGCAGAGGTTGCAGTGAGCTGAGATCACACCACTGCACTCCAGCCTGGCAATGGACCAAGACTCTGTTTAAAAAAACAAGAAAGAAGGAAAGAAAGAAAGAAAGAAGGAGAGAGAGAGAGAGAAAGAAAGAAAGGAAGGAAAGAAAAGAAAGAAAGAAAGAAGGGAATTTGACACTGCATTTGAATATGAAAATTGAATTTAAAAATGCAGTCTAGTAAATTTGTTTGAGTTCATTGTAGATTCTGGATATTATTAGCCCTTTGTCAGATGAGTAGGTTGCAAAAATTTTCTCCCATTCTGTAGGTTGCCTGTTCACTCTGATGGTAGTTTCTTTTGCTGTGCAGAAGCTCTTTAGTTTAATTAGATCCCATTTGTCAATTTTGGCTTTTCTTGCCATTGCTTTTGGTGTTTTAGACATAAAGTCCTCGCCCATGCCTATGTCCTGAATGGTATTGTCTAGGTTTTCTTCTAGGGTTTGATGGTTTTAGGTCTAACATGTAAGTCTTTAATCCATTTTGAATTAATTGTTGTATAAGTTGTAAGGAAGGGATCCAGTTTCAGCTTTCTACATATGGCTAGCCAGTTTTCCCAGTACCATTTATTAAATAGGGAATCCTTTCCCCATTGCTTATTTTTGTCAGGTTTGTCAAAGATCAGATAGTTGTAGATATGTGGCATTATTTCTGAGGGCTCTGTTCTGTTCCATTGGTCTATATCTCTGTTTTGGTACCAGTACCATGCTGTTTTGGTTACTGTAGCCTTGTAGTATAGTTTGAAGTCAGGTAGCGTGATGCCTCCAGCTTTGTTCTTTTGGCTTAGGATTGACTTGGCGATGCAGGCTCTTTTTTGGTTGCATATGAACTTTAAAGTAGTTTTTTCCAATTCTGTGAAGAAAGTCATTGGTAGCGTGATGGGGATGGCATTGAATCTATAAATTACCTTGGGCAGTATGACCATTTTCACGATATTGATTCTTCCTACCCATGAGCATGGAATGTTCTTCCATTTGTTTGTATCCTCTTTTATATCATTGAGAAGTGGTTTGTAGTTCTCCTTGAAGAGGTCCTTCACATCCCTTGTAAGGTGGATTCCTAGGTATTTTATTCTCTTTGAAGCAATTGTGAATGGGAGTTCACTCATAAAAACAAACAACCCCATCAAAAAGTGGGCAAAGGATATGAACAGACACTTCTCAAAAGAAGACATTTATGCAGCCAAAAAACACATGAAAAAATGCTCATCATCACTGGCCATCAGAGAAAGAAATACAAATCAAAACCACAATGAGATACCATCTGACACCAGTTAGAATGGCGATCGTTAAAAAGTCAGGAAACAACAGGTGCTGGAGAGGATGTGGAGAAATAGGAACACTTTTACACTGTTGGTGGGACTGTAAACTAGTTCAACCATTGTGGAAGTCAGTGTGGCGATTCCTCAGGGATCTAGAACTAGAAATACCATTTGACCCAGCCATCCCATTACTGGGTATATACCCAAAGGATTATAAATCATGCTGCTATAAAGACACATGCACACGTATGTTTATAGCGGCACTATTCACAATAGCAAAGACTTGGAACCAACCTAAATGTCCAACAACGATAGACTGGATTAAGAAAATGTGGCACATATACACCATGGAATACTATGCAGCCATAAAAAATGATGAGTTCATGTCCTTTGTAGGGACATGGATGAAACTGGAAACCGTCATTCTCAGCAAACTATCGCAAGGATAAAAAACCAAACACCTCATGTTCTCACTCATAGGTGGGAATTGAACAATGAGAACACATGGACACAGGAAGGGGAACATCACACACCAGGGACTGTTGTGGGGTGGCGGGAGGGGGGAGGGATAGCATTAGGAGATATACCTAATGCTAAATGACGAGTTAATGGGTGCAGCACACCAACATGGCACATGTATACATATATAACAAACCTGCATGTATACCCTAAAACTTAAAGTATAATAATAATAAAATTAAAAAAAAAGAATACAGTATATAATACATATAACACACACACACACAAAATGCAATCTAGACATGAGGAAATTTCTCAGAATGAGGCAGAGAGAGTTAAAAGGAAAAAAAGTAAAGACATTGGATAACAGAAAGGCAAATGCCAAAATATATCTGACTATTCAAGAAACAGAGAATTAAAAAATGAGATGAAGCCAAAAATGTTGGATGTAATTTTGATACTCATGTTTTCATTCAAATGATTTTCTTTATGATTTCTGCTTTAATCCAAGAGATTTTTTTCAACTAAATTCAGACACAGAATTTTGAAAGTCATCTATTTAGTATTTACTAGTTTTTTGTTGCTATTTTATCATGGTTTATTATTTGTTACTCATTGTAAAATTTTTTGTTATCGTTATTTTGGTTTTTATTTTCCCCCGATTTAAAGAAAGAGAGGAGTCCTCAGTATAAAAATTATACTTAATCCAACATGGTTACAAAATAAATCTAAATTACACAATGCAAAGGTTTTTCCTTTGTTTGTTTGTTTTCGTTGTTGTTTTAAAGCTTGAGAAAGGAGCTGGGCTTGGTGGCACATACCTGTAGTCCCATCTACTTGGGAAGCTGAGGTGGGAGGATTACTTGAGCGCAGGAATTTGAGGCTGCAGTGAGCTATAGCCACAGAGCGAGACCTTATCTCTGAAAAGAAAAAGAAATAAAGAAAAGCTTTAAAAGGGGTAGAAAAAGAGATTGCTTACAAATGAAAACAATCCAACCAACAGCAAACTAGCGGACTTCACATCAGCAGCAAGGGATTTCAAAGGACAATGAAAAAAATCACTTCAAAGTGCTGACGAAATATATCTTTTTTTTTTTTCTTTTTTTTAGACAGTGCCTGGCTTTGTCGCCCAGGCTGGAGTACAGTAGTGTGATCTCGGCTCACTGCAAGCTCCGCCTCCCGGGTTCACGCCATTCTCCTGCCTCAGCCTTCCCAGTAGCTGGGACTCCAGGCGCCCGCCACCACGCCCGGCTAATTTTTTTGTATTTTTAGTAGAGACGGGGTTTCACCGCGTTACCCAGGATGGTCTCGATCTCCTGACCTCATGATCCGCCCGCCTCGGCCTCCCAAAGTGCTGGGATTACAGGCATGAGCCACCGCGTCTGGCCAATATATCTTAACATAGAACTGTATACCAGTTAAACCATGATTCAAGAATGGAAGCAAAATAAAGACATTTTCAGGGTATTGCCCACAGACCATGACTGAAAGACAGGCCTACTGCAGTTTATATTTCATCAAGTAGCAAATTGAGCCGCCAAGGAAGCACAGAGACACTAAACATAAAAGTGAGAAAAAAATTAGAAAATGACTCTCCCAATACTAAGTAGCCAAAATTATATCAGTGGTCAATATGTAGCATTTAATGCATTCATTGCCAAAAATAAATAAATTGGAATTTTTAAAAACCATGAAAGACTACTAAGGATAGTAGGACAAAGAAAATAATTAAGTTAACCATAACAGTGTATAAATTAGAAATAAAGAGTAGAACTAATAATACAATAGATGACACTTTGTAAATAACCAACAACAAATTATATATAAACTTTTTGAAAACTAGGCAAATATGACAGAATTACAACCAAAATGGGAAAACAAAACTCTATGTTACAAAGGATATTAGTTTTTTCTAATAAATATGAAATACTGATGAAGTGAACTGAAAACCCTTTTTGTTAGCAAACAAACTCAACTTGGAATGTAAAGCCTAAATAAAAAACAATCAAGGAAAAAGTGTTTAACTACCCCAAAACAGAAAAATAAACAATAACAACAAACTCTAGGCTTGAATGATTTTATTGGAGAAGTATTTCACATGTTTAGAGAGAAAGATTATTTCTCATGCTACAGAAGCTCTTCCAACAACACATGCCAAGGCTTTGTTCCAAAATAATATTTTCTCTCCATCACACTTCATATACTGGGAAAAGGCCTTGAGGTCCTCTCAGCTTGTGGGGAAATTTTTATGTCTCTTGCAGAGTGAGACAGAAGCCATGCCCAGGACCTGGGCTGGAAGACACCTCTCCTTTTCCAAGTACGTTTGGGAAAACCACACAGGGTTTGTCTGCTCGAGTTTTCAATTTTGATTGTCCTTGAAAGGTCTTTGCCTGGTGCAATCGCATTTCCCCAAACCTCTCTCAGTTACTGCCAGGCCAGCCCAACTCAGAACACCCTTTCTTTCTCCACATGGGGCTAATTTTATTCATAGGGGCTCTGTCCCACCAAGTGGGAGATAATAGAAGTTTGACCAGAGTGATTATTTAAAACAAAATCTAGGCTTCTGGTTCAAATAAAGAAAAAGAATTTACATTTATCTCTGCTCCATTTTGAAAATACATCTAAATGCAGTAAGAACTACAAAACAAAAAGAAGTACATAAATAACTGGGAAAAGTTATCAGCCAACCAAAGATACTGTTCTTTTACATTTTCTGTTTCTTTCTTTGTACGGCAAAATAACACAAACCCATTATAGCTGGTAGAAGAAAGCAAGATACAGCAAAAAAAGGAGATAACTTCCCTCTCTTCCCATTTCACTTTTCTTACAGATTTAAGGCAACAAATATCAATACTCTGTTAGGGTCAGTGCTCACCCTTCCCCATGGCTGAGAAAGAACATAGCTAGACCACACATTCACAGATGAAAGCATTTGGTGTAGTCATTATGCTGTGTTTTATTTTTACAAAAATAATGAAAATACTAGATAACTTGCTTCTTTCATTAAGCATTACAGGCATCCATTTAGGATGACAGGGTCTGAATCATTTTTTTGGATAGCTGCATAATGTTCTATGTGATGGATATTACATGATTCTTGAAAGCACAACTACTGATGAGTGTTCATATTTCCAATATGTTGCTATTAAAAATAATGCTTCCAGGCCGGGCGCGGTGTCTCACGCCTGTAATCCCAGCACTTTGTAAGGCCGAGGCGGGAGGATCACAAGGTCAGGAGATCGAGACCATCCTGGCTAACACAGTGAAACCCCATCTCTACTAAAAATACAAAAAATTAGCCGGGTGTGGTGGCGGGCACCTGTAGTCCCAGCTACTCGGGAGGCTGAGGCAGGAGAATGGCATGAACCCGGGAGGCGGAGTTTGCCGTGAGCCGAAATTGCACCACTGCACTCCAGCCTGGATGACAGAGTGAGACTCAGTCTCAAAAATAATAATAATAATAATAATAATGCTTCCATTAACGTCCTTAAATATGATGCTCCTATTTTCATAGAAGATAGTCTCAAAGTGGGATTGCTGAATGAAAAGCATGTGATATTTTTTCTAATAATTGTTTATTCATCACTCTACAAGATGTTATAGGAATTCACTTGCTGAGCAGGTGAAGTGGAAGTGCCACTTTCTTTTCTAAATGTTATAACCTAAAAGGTAGTATTTGAAGGTGGTGAAGGAGTATGTCATACAACAGGGAACCTAAGATCTGCATGGATGTGCCCTTTTCAAATATACAAAACAGGCAGGTGACCTGCTGATTCAGTAGAAGGCAATAAACAATGCATTCAATTAGAACGACATACATTTAATCACAATTGTCTAATGGTGTTTGAGGTTTCTTATCTAATCAGTAATGAGTCTACCCAGCAATTAATGTTTCTGGAATCGTGGCTGCCCTTACCAGCACAGTGCTGATTTTAAACTAATCTTTCTATTTTATATAGTCTATTTCTGGAGTTAATAAAGGTGCTCTAATGAGTTGTATTTTTCAAAAAGTTATAACTACTGGGTATGATCACTTTAATTTTTAGAGTCTAATGGTGAAAAATATTATCTTATTGCTGCTTTAATTTGCCTTTCCCTCAATACTAGTGAGGGTTGGCATCATTCAATATGTGTATAGTCTGCTTGGATTAATCTTCTTTGACTTTCCTATTCACATCTGTCCATTTTTCTTTTGAGTTGTGTTTTTCTCTGATGGGCTTGAATACACTCTCAAGATTTTAGCAATATTAACTCTTTTCCTGTCTGAGAAGTCAGAAAAACTTCTACTTATGTATTATCTGTCTATTTTTTAAGCATACACATCTGTCAATAACATTTAGTTTACATATATATTGATATATTTGTGTGTATAGTTAATGCATATTGTTATATAACATAGTTAGTATATATATCCATCATTATACATATTTAACCTACTATGATCAGAAATATCTACTATTGTTTTTACCCGAGTTTCTTTCTTTCCTTCCGTAATGAGATATTTCCCCTAGCTTTTTCTAATGCATTTTTCCTTCTTCTTTTCCTATATATTTAATCAACATGGACTATGGATATATATAATATCATATATATAAAATATCATATATAATATATATAAAATATCATATATATATGAGGTAAAGGACCTCAATTTGCTTTAATCTTGCCTGTATATCTGAATCATTTTTTAAATAAACACTCTTTATCCACTGAAACAAAATACCATATTACCTTCTCATTTTTACTTGAATCTATTTCAAAACCTTTAATTCTGTTCCACTGAATAAATGGGTCAAGAACACACTATTTTGTTTATAGGAAGTTTTTAAATTAAGTTTTACTCTCCAGGAATTTTCTTATCATAATTTTCTTAGCTATTTTTACACATTGATTATTTCATAATGACTTTAAAAATATGTATCTAGTTTTAAAAGTTCATTAAGATTTTAGTTATTTTGTATTAAGCATCAATTTTGTAAATACTGGTATTTGATACTATTATTTCTTATCATTTTCTTCATAGATCTTCCTATTCTTGTTAAAATGAATCATAGATAATTAAACATTTTATTACTCTTATGAATATAGTTTTCCTTTATTTCTAATGGGATGTTTCTATTATATTGAAAAGTTAATTTTGGAATAGAAGTTTCCAGGTCGCTTCCAAGATGGCCAAATAGGAACAGCTCCAGTCTGCAGCTCCCAGTGAGATCGACACAGAAGACGAGAGATTTCTGCATTTCCAAATGAGGTACCTGGTTCATCTCACTGGGACTGGTGGGACAGTGGGTGCAGCCCATGGAGGGTGAGCCAAAGCAGGGTGGGGCATCACCTCATGCAGGAAGTGCAAGGGGTTGGGGGATTTCCCTTTCCTAGCCAAGGGAAGCTGTGACAGACTGTACCTGGAGGAACAGTACACTTCTGCCCAAATACTGCACTTTTCCCATTGTCTTTGCAACCAGCAGACAAGGAGATTCCCTCCCATGCCTGGCTCAGCAGGTCCCACGCCCACGGAGCCTTGCTCACTGCTAGCACAGCAGTCTGAGATCCACCAGCAAGGCTGCAGCCTGGCGGGGGTGGGGCATCTGCCATTGTTGAGGCTTGAGTAGGTAAACAAAGCTGCAGGGAAGCTCGAACTGGGTGGAGCCCACCGCAGCTCAGCAAGGCCTACTGCCTCTCTAGATTCCACCTCTCTGGGCAGGGCATAGCTGAACAAAAGGCAGCAGACAACTTCTGCACACTTAAACATACCTGTCTGATAGCTCTGAAGAGAGCAGTGGTTCTCCCAGCACAGCGTTTGAGCTCTGAGAACAGACAGACTGCCTCCTCAAGTGGGTCCCTGACCCCCATGTAGCATGACTGGGAGACACCTCCCAGTAGAGGCTGACAGACACCTCATACAGGTGGGTGCCCCTCTGGGATGAAATTTCCAGAGGTAAAATCAGGCAACAATATTTGTGGTTCTGAAATATTTGCTGTTCTGCAGCCTCTGCTGGTGATACCCAGGCAAACAGGGTCTGGTGTGGACCTCCAGAAAATTCCAACAGACCTGCAGCTGAGGGGCCTGTTAGAAGGAAAACTAACAAACAGAAAGGAATAGCATCAACATCAACAAAAAGGACATCCACACCAAACCCCATCTGTAAGTCACCAACATCAAAGACCAAAGGTAGATAAAAACCACAAAGATGGGGAGAAATCAGAGCAGAAAAGCTGAAAATTCTAAACACCATAGCACCTCTTCTCCTCCAAAGGAATGCAGCTCCTCTCCAGCAACAGAACAAAACTGGAGGGAGAATGAGTTTGACGAGTTGACAGAAGTAGGTTTCAGAAGATCAGTAAAAACAAACTTCTTCAAGCTAAAGGAGCTTGTTCTAACCCATCACAAGGAAGCTAAAAACCTTGAAAAAAGGTTAGACGAATGGCTAAGTAGAATAAACAGTGTAGAGAAGACCTTAAATGACTTGATGGAGCTGAAAATCATAGCACGAGAATTTCATGATGCAGGCACAAGCTTCAATAGCTGATTCGATCAAGAGGAAGAAAGGGTATCTGTGATTGAAGATCAAATGAAATAAAGTGAGAAGACAAGATTAGAGAAGAAAGAGTGAAAAAAAACAAAGCCTCCAAGAAATATGGGACTATGTGAAAAGACCAAATCTACATTTAATTGGGGTACCTGGAAGTGACGGGGAAAATGGAACCAAGTTAGAAAATACTCTTCAGGATATTATCCAGGAGAACTTCCACAACCTAGCAAGGCAGGCCAACATTCAAATTCAGGAAATACAGAGAACACCACAAAGATTCTTGAGAAGAGCAACCCCAAGACACATAATTGTCAGATTCACCAAAGTTGAAATGAAGGAAAAAATGTTAAGGGCAGATAGGGAGAAAGTTTGGCTTACCCACAAAGGGAAGCCCATCAGACTAACAGTGGATCTCTCAGCAGAAACCCTACAAGCCAGAAGAGAGAGGGGGCCACAATTCAACACTCTTAAGGAAAAGAATTTTCAAACCATAATTTCATATCCAGCCAAACTAAGCTTCATAAGTGAAGGAAAAATAAAATCCTTTACTGACAAGGAAATGCTGAGAGATTTTGTCACCACCAGGCCTGCCTTACAAGAGCTCCTGAACGAAGCACTAAACATGGAAAGGAACAACCGGTGCCAGCCACTTCCAAAACATGCCAAATTATAAAGACCATTGATGCTATAAAGAAACTGCATCAATCAATGGGCAAAATAATCAGCTAACATCATAATGACAGGATCAAATTCACACATGACAATATTAACCTTAAATGTAAATGGGCTAAATGCCCAAATTAAAAGACCCAGACTGGCAAATTGGATAAAGAGTCAAGACCCATCAGAGTGCTGTAATCCGGAGACCCATCTCACGTGCAGAGACACACATAGGCTCAAAATAAAGGGATGGAGGAAGATCTACCAAGCAAAAGGAAAGCAAAAAAAAAAAAAAAAAAAAGCAGGCGTTGCAATCCTAGTCGCTGATAAAACAGAATTTAAACCAACAAAGATCAAAAGAGACAAGGAAGGTCATTAAATAATGGCAAAAAATCAATTCAATAAAAAGAGCTAACTATCCTAAACATATATACACCCAATACAGGAGTACCCTGATTCAAAAAGCAAGTGCTTAGAGACCTACAAAGAGACTTAGACTCCCACACAATAATAATGGGAGACTCTAACACCCACTGTCAATATTAGACAGATCAACAAGACAGAAGGTTAACAAGGATATCCAGGACTTGAACTCAGCTCTGCACCAAGCTGACCTAATAGACATCTACAGAACTCTCCACCCCAAATCAACAGAATATACATTCTTTTCAGCACCTCATCACACTTATCCTAAAATTGACCACATAATTGGAAGAAAAGCACTCCTCAGCAAATGTAAAAGAACAGACATCACAACAAACTGTCTCTCAGACCACAGTGCAATCAAATTAGAACTCAGGATTAAGAAACTCACTCAAAACCACACAACTACATGGAAACTGAACAACCTGCTCCTGAATGACTACTGGACAAATAACGAAATGAAGGCAAAAATAAAGATGTTCTTTGAAACCAATGAGAACAAAGACACAACATACCAAAATCTCTGAGACACATTTAAAGCAGTGTGTAGAGGAAAATTTATAGCACTAAATGCCCACAAGAGAAAGCAGGAAAGATATAAAATCGACACCCTAACATCACAATTAGAAGAACTAGAGAAGCAAGAGCAAACAAATTCAAAAGCTGGCAGAAGGCAAGAAATAACTAAGATTAGAGCAGAATTGAAGGAGATAGAGACACAAAAAACCCTTCAAAAAAAATCAGTGATTCCAGGAGCTGGTTTTTTGAAAAGATCAACAAAATAGATAGACTGCTAGCAAGACTAATAAATAAGAAAAGAGAGAAGAATCAAACAGACAGCAATAAAAAATGATAAAGAGGATATCACTACCGATCCCACAGAAATACAAACTACCATCAGAGAATATGATAAACACCTCTATACAAATAAACTAGACAATCTAGAAGAAATGGACAAATTCCTGGACATATACACCCTCCCAAGACTAAACCAGGAAGAAGTTGAATCTCTGAATAGACCAATAACAGGTTATGAAATTGAGGCAATAATTAATAGCCTACCAACAAAACAAGTCCAGGACCAGACGGATTCACAGCCGAATTCTACCAGAGGTACAAAGAGAAGCTAGTACCATTCCATCTGAAACTATTCCAATCAACAGAAAAAGAGGGAATCCTCCCTAACTCATTTTAAGAGGCCAGCATTATCCTGATACCAAAGCCTGGCAGAGACACAACAAAAAAAAAGAGATTGATGAACATCAATGCGAAAATCCACAATAAAATACTGGCAAACCAAATCCAGCAGCACATCAAAAAGCTTATCCACCACGATCAAGTCGGCTTCATCCCTGAGATGCAAGGCTGGTTCAACATACGCAAATCAATAAATGTAATCCATCCCATAAACAGAACCAACCACCAACGACAAAAACCACACGATTATCTCAATAGATGCAGAAAAGGTATTGATAGAATGTATCTCAAAATAATAAGAGCTATTTATGACAAACCCACAGCCAATATCATACTGAATGGGCAAAAACTGGAAGCATTCCCTTTGAAAACCTGCACAAGAGAAGGATGACCTCTCTCACCACTCCTATTCAACATAGTGTTGGAAGTTCTGGCCAGGGTAATCAGGCAAAAGAAAGAAATAAAGGGTATTCAATTAGGAAAAGAGGAAGTCACATTGTCTCTGTTTGCAGACGACATGATTGTATATTTAGAAAACCCCATTGTCTCAGCCCCAAATCTCCTTAAGCTTATAAGCAGCTTCAGCAAAGTCTCGATACAAAATCAATGTGCAAAAATCACAAGCATTCCTATACACCAATAACAGACAAACAGAGAGCCAAATCATGAGTGAAACTCCCATTCACAATTGCTACAAAGAGAATAAAATACCTAGAAATCCAACTTACAAGGGAAATGAAGGACCTCTTCAAGGAGAACTGCAAACTGCTGCTCAATGAAATAAAAGAGGACACAAACAAATGGAAGAACATTCCATGCTCATAGATAGGAAGAATCAATATCATGAAAATGGCCATACTGCCCAAGGTAATTTATAGATTCAATGCTATCCCCATCAAGCTACCAATGACTTTCTTCACAGAACTGGAAAAACTACATTAAACTCCATATGGAACCAAAAAATAGCCCACATAGCCATGACAATCCTAAGCCAAAAGAACAAAGCTGGAGGCATCATGTTACCTGACTTCAAACTTTTTTTTTGTCAATTTTTACCACTTGTTACTAAATAAAATGTTTGTCAAACTTTGTTACTACAAGGCTACAGTAACCAAGACAGCATGGTACTGGTACCAAAACAGATATATAGACCCATGGAAGAGAACAGAGGCCTCAGAAATAACACCACACATCTACAACCATCAGATCTTTGACAAACCTGACAAAAATAAGCAATAGGGAAAGGATCCCCTATTTAATAAATGGTGCTGGGAAAACCGGCCAGCCATATGTAGAAAGCTGAAACTGGATCCCTTCCTTATACCCTATACAACAATTAACTCAAGACCCAAAACCATAAAAACCCTAGAAGAAAACCGAGGCAATACCATTCAGGACATAGGCATGGGTGAAGACTTCATGACTAAAACACAAAAAGCAATGGCAACAAAAGCCAAAATTGACAAATGAGATCTAATTAAACTGAAGAGCTTCTGCACAGCAAAAGAAACTACCATCAGAGTGAATGGGCAACCTACAGAATGGGAGAAAATTTTTGCAATCTACCCATCTGACAAAGGGCTAATATACAGAATATACAAAGAACTTAAACAAATTTACAAGAAAAAACAACTCCATCAAAAAGTGGGCAAAGGATATGAACAGACACTTCTCAAAAGAAGACATTTATGCAGCCAACAGACACATGAAAAAATGCTCATCATCACTCGTACATCAGAGAATTACAAATCAAAACCACAATGAGATACCATCTTATGCCAGTTAAAATGGCAATTATTAAAAAGTCAGGAAACAACAGATGCTGGAGAGGGTGTGGAGAAATAGGAACACCTTTACAGTGTTTATGGGAGTGTAAATTACTTCAACCATTGTAGAAGACAGTATGGCGACTCCTCAAGGATCTAGAACTAGAAATACCATTTGACCCAGTGATCCCATTACTCGGTATATGCCCAAAGGATTATGAATCATGCTACTATAAAGACACATGCACACGTATGTTTATTGCAGCACTACTCACAATAGCAAAGACTTGGAACCAACCCAAATGTCCATCAATGATAGACTGGATTAAGAAAATGTGGCACATATACCCCCCATGGAATACTATGCAGCCATAAAAAAGGATGAGTTTATGTCCTTTGCAGGGACATGGATGAAGCTGGAAACCATAATTCTCAGCAAACTATCACAAGAACAGAAAACCAAACACTGCGTGTTCTCACTCATAGGTGGGAGTTGAACAATGAGAACACATGGACACAGGAAGGGGAACATCACACACCAGGGCCTGTTGGGGGGTGGGGTGCTGGGGGAAGGATAGCATTAGGACAAATATCTAATGTAAATGACGAGTTGATGGGTGCAGCAAACTAACATGGCACATGCATACCTATGTAACAAACCTGCATGTTGTGCACATGTACCCTAGAACTTAAAGTTTTAAAAAAAAGTTAATTTTGTATATGTATACATTAATTAGGCATGTATGTGGTATAGAGTTGTTAAAAAAATTCAAATATAATTTACACAACATAACATTTGTTTTCATACGTTTTAAGATGTCCAAATAAGCTGGGCACGGTGGCTCACGCCTGTAATCCTAGCACTTTGGAGTCCGAAGTGTGCGGATCACTTGAGTTCAGGAGTTTGAGACCAGCCTGGCCAACATGGTGAAACCTCATCTCTACTAAACATACAAAATTAGCTGGACGTGGTGGCATGCCCCTGTAATTCCAGCTACTCCGAAGGCTGAGGCAGGAGAATGGCTTGAATCCAGGAGGCGGAGGTTGCAGTGAGCCGAGATTGCACCACTGCACACTCCAGCCTGGGCAAGAGAGAGAGAATTTGTCTAAAAAAACAAACAAACAAAAAAACAAAAAAACAAAAACACACACACATACACATAGAGGATGTACAAATAGTTAAGTGCTTTTAGTATATTCACTACGTTGTGCAACCATCAACACTATCTAATTCCAGGATGTTTCCTTCATTCCGAAAAGAAACCTGTATTTATTGTCAGTCAGAACAATTCCTCTCAACCCCAACCTCTCTTAGTCACTGATCTACATTCTTTCTGTATGGATTTGACTGATCTAGACATTTCATATAAACAGAATTGTACTATACATGGCCTGTTGTGACTGGATTCTTTCACCTAGCATGATGTTTTCAAGGTTCTTTTATGTCGCAGTATGTTATACTGCTTCATTCTTTAAGACTGAATAATTGTATGTACATACCACATTTTGTCTATGTATCAGTTGATGGATCTTTGGATTGTGTATGTTTAGTATTAAGTGTCAACCTGATTGGATTGAAGGATTCAAAGTATTGTTCCTGGGTGTGTCTGTGAGGGTGTTGCCAAAGGAGATTAATAATTGTGTCAATGGACTGGGAGAGGCAGACCCACCTTCAGTGTGGGTGGGCACCATCCAATCAACGGCCAGTGCGGCTAGAGTAAAGCAGGAAGAAGAAGGTGGAAGAAGGTGGGAGAGGCCGATTTGCTAAGTCTTCCAGCCTTCATCTTTCTCCCGTGCTGCATGCTTCCTGCCCACGAACATCAGACTCCAAGTTCTTCAGCTTTTGGGCTCTTGGACTTTACACCAGTGGTTTGCCAGGGGCTCTCAGGCCTTCAGCCACAGACTGAAAGCTGCACTGTCGGCTTCCCTGCTTTCGAGGTTTTGGGACTCAGACTGGCTTCCTTGTTCCTTACCTTGTAGATGGCATATTTTGAGAGTTCACCTTGTGATCGTGTGAGTCAATATTTCTTAATAAACTCCCCTTCATATATGCATATATCCTATTAGTTCTGTCCCTCTAGAGAACCCTGACTAATACAGATTGTCTTTACTTTGGGCTATTATGAATAGTGTTGCTGTGGGTATGCATGTACAAGTGGAATTGCTGGGTCATATGACAATCCTTTGTTTAACTTTTTAAGTAACTGCTAAACTGTTTTCCTGGGGTATGGAACTTTAAGATGGGCTTCATGGTCCCTGTCTCCTGGTATTCATGTACCCCCTCTCCTTGAGTATAGGCAGAAACTGTGACCTGCTTCTGACCAATTGCAAAGGCAATGAAGTGTCACTCTCTTCAGCATGTGAGATAACATAAAACTGTGTCTAACTAGTCAATTCACTCTAGACATTCTCTCTCTCTCTCTCTCTCTTTCTCTCTCTCTCTCCATTGCTTATTTTGAAGTAGCAAGCTGCCATAGTCAATAACTACAAGGAAATACATTCTGGCAACTACTTGAGTGATCTTGGAAGCAGTTTCTTCCACTGTTGAGCCTATAGATGAGGACACAGCTTGACTAACACCTGGAATGTAGTCTCATGAGACCCTCAGCAGAGGATTGAATAAGCTATATCAGTACTCTGATCCACAGAAACTGTGAGATAATAACCACATATCATTTCAAGTCTCCAAATTTGTATAATTTGTTACCCAGCATAGAAAACTAATGTAGCATGCTAGCAATTGTTTTTATTCAAATAGTATTTTCTGACACAGGTGATTTCATATTCTTTGATTTTTTTCTTTAGCATTTTATAAATGATTTTATGTTATGGTCTTATGAAGGTTGAAATCGTCTCCAAAGCTGCATTTCTTATGAGAAATATAGCTGCCATCTGCATTTTGTTCTTAATTTTATGGAAAATGGCTTTAACATTTCAATATTTGATATGTTATAACTAACTATATATAACTATTAACAAATTTTGTCTATAACTAATCTTCATTTTTTATTTCCACTTTTGTTAGGGTTCTTGTTAGGAATTGCTGGTCCCCCTAAATCTTAACAATGACATTTCTGTACCTATCTACATGATCGCCTGCAGTTTTTTCCTTCTGATTTGTTTGCACAAAGAATTATGCAGGTAGGTGTCTTGATGTTGAATATTTATACATTTTTTAAGATGAACTCCACTTTGACATGGTGCAAAATGCTTTCGATTCACAGCTGCCATTTTTTTTTTTCCTGGAACTCATCAAAATCTGGACAGAGATTTAAATGATGGAAACTTGAGCATGCCTTCCTGATTTCCTTTCTCTCCCACCATCCTCTCTGGAAGGTGTAAACATGACTGAAGCTACAGGTTGTCAATTCTCCTAGAATATGACCAGGCCAAATGGGTCCTATTGCCTCTGCACTGACTCTATTAGGCTGAGACTAGCTGTGGAGAGGCCTTCAGTTAGTGCCCCAGCAGCAGAGTCAGGTTGTCTGGCATGCTCACAGCTGGCTCACGGGAGGAGACATGGCTGTGCCTTCCACCCTTCTCTTGCTCCCTACTCTTTCACAGACCTTCCAACCTGATGGTGCCTTTGCTGAAATTAATTATAGAGAAAAATGAGCAAGCAAAAAAATTTATAACAACATATTTAAGGATTTTCAGGGATAAGGATGTGCCTTTAGAAGAGATGACTTCTACTGACATTGAATAGATGCAAGAGTTCAAAAAGAACTTTAAAAATAAGATATACTCTGAAAGCAAGTCATTTAGAGACCAAGCAAAAAGACTTTCTAGAAATAAAAATATATGATTTATAAATTTTAATAAACTGAAAAGGGTATAGGTGTAGCTAAATACCAATTTAGATCTTAAAAATCCAATGGACAAATGAGTTTGCAACACAGAACAAACACACAGAGTTTGAATCCCTAATTCAATGTGCTAAGAACTAAGCCTCTTCATTTTATTGTTGTCCGCAAACTTGAATCAACAGTGACTAAACTTCACAATCCCATGTTATGATTCAAAAAATGTCAAACCCCAAGTAAAATTCTTGAGGTAAATTCCAGTTTCAGATGCCTAATGAGGTATTCATAAATTAAAGATTTTAATCAAATATTTTATTTTATGATCCCCTCAGTGTGATACAAAGGAACCCCAAAAAAACATTGAACTATGAATTCATAGTTTGTTATTGTTAGTATTAGTGGTGGTGGTGGTGGTGTGTGTGTTTCCCTGTATTTTAGATGTCTCCTGTCTCAGAGAAACGACAGCTGTCTTCTCCAAAGATTGTTTAAGCACAAACAGGACATTTTGCTCATTCATTGTTGTTTGTCACACAAAGAAGTTGCTTTTGTATTTTGTGGTACTGCACTATTAAGGCTGAATTTCTTTTCAAATAAAAATCTGACTCAAGGGAGTGAACAGCTCCATGCTCTAAGCAGGGTTAACCACTGTTTTCAAAAGCTCTGGCAGGGAGATGGAAGCTTGGAGGTAAATTGAAAGATATAGTTTACCAAATGCTTGGGCAAACCTCACTGAGAAGGACATAAATGGATGGTAGCTCCAGGAGTTGTAAGCAGAAGAGGCAGTAGTGACATTGGGGTTGGTCTTTTCACTGCATCAAAGTGCACCCATCTCTCTCCAGTAAGTCTGGGATACAGCTGGCCAGAGGCACATTAAGATCACGTGCAAAAGCAGAAAAACAGGAACTGAAAACCAAGTTCAACAAAAGAGGGAGAAATAAATGAAGGAACCAGGACTGAGTACCACGTTTGGCTCTGAGATTTACTAGAAGGTAACCTCAGAAAGAAATGAAACGTGGTAAATTACTTAGTCCTTATTATCAAAAAGGATGAGGTCAACCTAGGTCTTTCTTGGCATTACCTATACTATAAATTTCTCAAATGAGACTTTTTACACAGGGGGCAATGAACAATAAGCCTAATAACACACAAAAGTAGATTATTAAAGTGGTGCTTCTGAAGTGCTATAATCATCATCTTCACCAGGGCTTTGTAAATTATTTCTTTCCACAGGATTAAAAACTTCAATGAACAATATCTCCCTTCTGTTTTGGCTTTAGAAATCAGGTTGTTATTGGTGGAACTGTACCCCTCCCACACCCCCAATTCACATGGTGATGTTCTAACCCGCAGTACCTCACAATGTGACCTTATTTGGAGATAGGCATTTTTTAGAGGTAATCAAGTAAAAATGAGGTCATTAGGAAGGCCTAACCCAAGATGACAGTGTCCTCTATGAGAAGGAGGAATTTGGACATAGACACACACAAGGCGAACATCATGTGAAGATGAAGCCAGAGACCAGGATGCTGCTTCAACATGCCGAAGAACACCAGAGACTTCCAGAAAACCACTAGGAATTCAGTGAAAGGGATGAAACAGCTGCTCCCTCACAGCCCCTCAAAGGAACCATCCCTGCCAACATGTAGATCTCAGACTTCCAGCTTCCAGAGCTGTTGGATGATAAATGTGCGTTACTTAAGCCACTCAGTTTGTGGTACTTTGTTACGGCAGCCTAAGAAACTAATACTCAGGTTTTTATAATGTCAGGTTGAGCCATCCTCCACATCTACTTTCTCTGGCAGTGACCATTTCTGATCAGGGACTGAATAGAAGATTCTAGTTATTTAATTACAAACAAAATAATTGAGAGAAGAATGCAGTCAAGATAATTCCAAGAACAGCCCATGACCTGGAGCCCAGTGCCCAGCTTCCACAGCAGTGATGTGTTCACATCAGGCCAGATTCTTCCATAAAAAGTTCACATTTCTATAATAAAAAGTTCACATGTTTTCTTTGGTCTTGTCCTATTTTATATTGGTTCCCCTTTATGACAAGAGTCTAGAGACCAGAAAGAACTGGTCCAGGACCAAATTAAATAAAGCTTGAAATCTCTGTCACTTACCTGATCCCTAATTATGGGTAGAGAAGCCCTACAGACAAGCTTTTTCCAGCTCAGGTAATGTTGCTGTATGGCCCCAGCAACTTTTTTTATGACTTGGCTAAATTTTGCCAAGTATTTGCTTGGTGTCACATTTATGAGCTTACTTAAGAATCTTTTGTGCAAACTTTTCGAAGGCTTACTTGATGGACTAGCTCCAGAACTAGATTCCTGGGGCCCACTACACAGTGTTTGAATAAGGCCAAAAGGTAAAATGTGTCTCCTAGTTGTTTTCTTGTATCTTCCCTCCCTCTCCTCCCCCTGCAAAGATGTCTTCTTTCCTCCTTTCGTACTGGTCTTCTGACAAACAAGTTAGCTAATTACCAATAAGCAAAATTCCCTTGAATATCTGCCATTGTTCAGTGTTTTCCTGGGCAGGGGTCTGATCTCTATGGAGAGGCTTTAAGTTTTAGAACTTGTACAAAGCTTCTGCGCCTTGTGGTGGTGATGGTGGTGGTGGCATGTGTGTGTGTTTCTGAGAGAGAACTACTCCTCTGGCCACCTATTTAGTGAGTGAAAATATCTCAGCCTTGCAAGCAACTGCCTAGAATGTTTGATTCAACCTCTACTCCAATACTTTCTATCCCAATGAAAATTATAGCTATAACATCTTTGCCAGCTGATTGTACAGCTCTCATCAAACCATTCCTGTGTTAAAGTGGGCCCTGCCTTTCATGTAGCCCATGAAATTGCACCTCATTCTCACTGTTGGACGTTCTTTCTTGAATCTAGCTAAAACTACCTGCTTGCCTCCTGGAATCTCACTTATATAGGCATGCATCTACACAAAGTGAATGAGAAGGCCAAATTAACTGTTACTCATTCAGACATAAAATCTTCCTGATTCTTCACTCAGATGCAAGGGCTATCTTGGTCAAAATACCCTCAATTATCTGTATAATTTGTGTCCAGATTCCATCTTCTCCTTTATTCTATAGATCACAAAATCTCATCTCACTGACTTCTCATGAGGGTGGCCCAGGCCCGGACTGGACTAGGTGACTTCTACCAAGTTATATGGCTGTGAATGTTAGAGTCAGAGGAAATTTTAAAAATCTATCATCTCCATGATGCAAAATATAAACATGGCCTGTGAATCTCAGAAGTTGTAGAGATGATGCCTACGTGCAAGGCTTTGGAAGACAAATATCAGGATTAGCAAGAATAAAGGCATGCCACACAGGAGAAGAAAAAAATCTAGCCAGGAAGACTGACTCCCATGGCATCCTCTACATGGGGAAAGGAGCCTTCAGAGACTGACATTTTGGTGCATCAGGAGGCATTTCTGCTTCCACATGAGATTTACTGACTATAAAAATGATTGGATTCTGTGTTCTATAATTTAAAATTATGATCCTGTAACATTATAAGAAAGTGTCTGGTAAGAGGTGTCTGCTCTTCAAACATGTCAGATATGCCGCAGATGGCTGAGATAGGAATTGGAGGTGGGGTTGTAACAGAAAGGTGGTGTTGCACGATGCCTCCTCCAGAAGTGTTGCATAGGCCTGCTGACCCAGGGAGAGGTTACGCAAACATCTGGCCTTGGGTCAGAGAGGGCTCTGCAAGCTCCAGTTATCCACTTCAGTCACTGTTTTACATAATCCCATCATTTTGTAAATCATTTCATTGATACCAGCACTTTCACAGAATTGTTTTATTTGAACAACTCAGAGGAAGGCCACAGCAGAGGGTCCCAAGTTTTTGATAGATGAGAAAATTGAGAAGTTTAGTGATTCCTCCAAAGCCACCTAAGAAGTCTGCAGCAGAGGTAAGTCTTTTACTCCTGATCCTTTATCTTTCTGTTCTTGCTTACACAGGTGAAGGAGGTAGGTTAATCCCCTGGATTATCCTGGTATTGTCCCACTTACCCCTTTTGCTCAGTGTCATGTGGCTGTGACCAAGTAGACCACATCCAGGAGAAGTGACCTGCCATCCCACCTCACAGACAACTTCACCTCCCCAGCACCATCCTAGACCTTTTGAAAGACTGAACTGGAGTTCTAAACATTCATTAATTTAGTTGGAGTATTTTTGTTTTCTCCTCAAGAGAGTGAAAAATGGCCATTGTGAGAGAATAATGTCAAATATTCCTACAAGGGCAAAGGCAGAGTCCAGAATCACAGCTGAATCCTCCTTGTTCCATTTTTATGTGTGAATTCTTAAACCACACAGATTACATTACAAGTTGGGAATGCCTCCACCTGACTAAATATATATGTGTACACATTGGCATCCATCTCCATTAACATAATATTAGCCATTACGGGAGCATTACAACATCATCCTGCTCACAAATGTGACACAGAACAGAGTGTCACAGACACCTCAATGCACTGGACGCTTAAGTCAAATGGAAAGTTAAAAACACCTTCTGCAAGCAGCCACTGGCATTACTTCATATTTATGTTAGTTTTGCTAATCTAATCGAGTGAACTTTTTCCCTAAGAGAATATAATAGGAATATTTTATTTGAAAATTTTATGTAGTAAGCAGCTGTCTAAAGTCTTAATTTCTGTTTTCAGTAGGGTAAGTGGCAAATGCAACCAGGAAGAAAAAAATAGCAGTTTCCCAAGTGCTAGTAAGGGCAGCAGGCAGTGGAAAATCCATGCAAAGTCTTTCCAGGAAACCATTCCTACGGATCATGGGGGAAATACTTAAATGCTGGTATAGAAAAATATATCCATGCATTTCTTAATGAGGTTGAGCAAAAGAGTTGGAAAAGCCCCCAGCAATCAGGGAACAGAGGTAGAGAGAGGGAAAGTAGCTTGAAAAAGTCATTAGCAGGAGAAGGATAGCCACAATCAAGGACCTCGGCCCTGGCTCCAGGGGACTGTTTGCAGGAATTGCCTACTTTGTGCTGACATCTGGGGTGCACTGCAGGAGGAGAATGCCATTACACCCCCTGCTATTGCTCCAGCCACAGAAATGGCCATGTGCTGCATGGTGACCTACCACATCCTGTAGTTCCTTTCACTAATACTTGCCTGATCAATTACATAGCAGATATAGGGTCATGTCACAGGTTCTGTCTTTTTCTGCCATAGAAATTCAAACAGGACCCTAGCATAGTATTTATCTATATCTTGCATGAATTAAATGAGTTGAGCTGATACAATGAAAAGAGAAGGAATGTGAGGGGTAATCAGTCCTGGATTCCTGTCCTTGTTTAGGTACAACTTTGGAAAAATTACCCAGTCCCTGAGCCTCTTAAACCAGGAAAATATGTTTATCATAATTTTTCATGAAAATTACATGATATAATATATAAAACATACCTATCCTGAGGGAGTTAGGAAGTGGGTGTCAGTAGTAATTACATATTGGGAGTCAAGATATAATCTTAACGCATTCTATTGATGATAGCAACAAGCAATAATCTCATTGGTTGCTATGTTCTGAGGCAGCCTGCATCTTGAATTAGAAGAAGGTCATGGCCCCAGGAACAGAGTATAGACCTTAAAAAGAAATACATGCACAAAACACCATTTCTGAAGATAATCCCAGGGACCCAGAGCTATAAATTCCAGATATTTCTTCCTCAGTGGTGCCTAATCCACCTGGCCTCACCCATCATACCATGCACCTATTCTTCACTACAGCCACCTCTATCTTGGGCTCCATGTTCCCCACCTTAGCTCCTGGTATAGGTGCCTTTGTTTAAACACCAGCACATAATATAGAACTTGACCTACTGGTATTCATTAAACTGGTGTAAAATGAGTGAACTAAGTGACCAGTTTTGAATCTGCTTTTCATGACAACACTCCAGCATGTTCTTTGATTTGAAATTGAAACTCTTGAAGATGGGAGAAAAGAAGGAAAGCAAGTTCAGGGCTTTTATCTCCCTGACTTCCTTCTTTCAGGGCTGCCTTAGGCTGCTTGGGTCCCTCACCAAAGACCAGTGCTCCTTGCAGTGGGCCCCTCAATACAACACACTCCTCCCAAGTTCCATTAACTGCTCCCTCCGTTTGTCAATTGAGGAGTAGGGGTGGCCACAACCCTGCTGTTACTAGCCTCTTGTGCATAGCCTCTTGTGTTTTTCTTACCTAGAATGGCCACTCACCCTACTTTTCGCAGAAATGGAGTGTTGTGAAATCCTCTCATTCGGATGAGAGGGCTCTCAGTACTAAAACAGTCTTGGGCAAACTGGATGGTGAGTCACCCTACCTACGTCCTGCACACACCTTTGTAAATAGCTCCTTTACTAAACCTTCCTTTTATCACTCTGGTTGAAAAGAGTCATCCACTTTCTTTTTGGGACCTTGAATAATTCATTATCAAAAATCACACCCTATTTTGTCTTCTGCAAGAATTGTTGATGTGAGGCTACCTATGAACACATTCCCTCCTCTGGGGAGAAAGCCCACCTACAATTGGAGACAGTAAGGCCAGTACACCAGGGGCAGCAGAAATGAGAGACAGCAGTGGAGGAAATCCCTGTCTCCTCAGGACCCAGAGTCCAGCCCAGGGATGCTGGCTCCTGAGTGCTTCTTTTTTCTGCAAGGCAGTCATGTCTTTCCCAGCCATACCAGCCAACAAATTCCTAACTTGTAAAAAAAGGACCACTGCCGCTTCAACCAGTTTTGCCTGAGACAGTTCTGTGTACTTCTGTGTGTAGGCCAGGAATGAGAGACCAAAGTGAAGTCTCCCAAAGCATCTCCCTAGCCTAAGTCAGGATGAGAGAAGAGTACATCAGTGGTAAAATATGGCAGCCTTTTAAAAATGTTTTTCAAAACACAACAACACATGCTGGCAAGGCTGCAAGAGAAAAGGGAAAGCTTATACAATTTTGGTGAAAATGTAAATTAGCTCAGTCACTGTGGAAAGCAGCTTGAAGATTTCTCAAAGAACTCAAAACAGAACTACCATTTGAATGAGAAATCCCATCACTGGGTATATATTCAAAAGAAAATATATCATTCTACCAAAAATACACATGCACTCACATGTTCATCACAGCACTATTCACAATAACAAAGACATGGAATCGACCTGTGTGTTCATCAATGGTGGGCTGGATAAAGAAAATGTGGTACATTTACATGATGAAATACTATGTAGTCATGAAAAAGAATAAATACATGTCCTTTGCAGCAATATGGATACACCTGGGGGCCATTATCCTTGGTGAATTAATGCAGGAACAGAAAACCAAATACCACATGTTCTTACTTTAAGCGGGAGCTAAACAATGGATATTCATGGCATAAAGATGGAAACAGTAGACACTGGGGACTACTAGAGGGTGGAGAAAGGGATGAGGCAAGGGCTGAAAAACTAATTATTGGGTACGAAGCTCAGTACTTGGTTAATGTGATCAATTATACCCTAAACCTCAGCATCCCACAATATACCCAAGAAACCAACCTGCACATGTATCCCCTGAATCTAAGATAGAATCTAAAATTATTTTAAAATGTTTTTCAATAACTATTAATTGAACATGTAATGTCAATTGCTCTGCTTAGTTCTTAACAGAGATTACCTGATTTAGTCTTCATTACACTCCCTGAGCGGGTTATTATTTACATTTTATAGAGGAAGAAATGGAAGCCCAGACAAGTTGATTCACCTGCGCAGTCATATCCCTTGGAAGAGGCAGAGCCAGGATTTGAACCCATGCTATTAAGCATTGTGTTACCTTGTCTGCCTATGGTTCTCCCCAGGACGGCCTTGGTTGGATGTAGCTATTGCATCTGTCATCACAGGAATGGAGAGCCCTTCAGGAACTCACAGGGTACAGCTCAGGACATTAGGCAGCCCTGCTTCATCCTAATTTCCTTTCCTAGTTCTCGGCAAGAAGGCCTAGAAAATAGTTCATGCTTCAATCTTGTAACTTAAAACTCTGACAACAAACTGCACATGATCTAGTGCTGTACAGACTCCAACTTAGAGTATGCTTTTACTTCTCACTTCTAGATGTTTACACACTCATCAAGGCCATTACCCATCTGTGTCTGTTAGTAACACATGTCCTCAAACTTGCAAAAATTTCTCAATGCAGAGCTACCCTTGGGATGCTGAAAGATCTCAACACAGCCCCTATCCCATGCTCTTTTGTTCTTCAGTGGACACCTTTGCCCTCCCTCTCCATCTTTGCTGTAACTCAGTGGAGGATCTTACAGAAGGTGATATAAAATGGAGTCCAGAGCCTGCTTTAGCTGATGGCTTTTTCTTTTTCTTTAAAATATGTATGAAGCCAATGCCTAACTCACAAGACTGGTGGATAAAATAGCATAGTGTATGCTAATGTTCTCCTAATAGAAGGCAATTCTAGTCTTAATACATAGGTGGCATATGGCTAATTAATGGATTTGATGGTACCTGAAGATTTTGGGTGAGCAGGAAAAACAGAATAATGTTAGGATGATTATTTTAGGCAGAATGTGTTAGTTAACTGAATAGAGAAAAGGTCCAAGCACAAATAGTTAGAAAAGCATTACTGCAGAAGTCAGAAAGCCAATTGCCAGTAGTTTGTCCTCAAAATCAGCCTAGCTCCCTGGCTGGAGCTGGATGGACGGGAACACAGAGAAATGGTCTGGAATGAACGCCTCTGCTTCACTTGGGCAGAGCAACTGGAAGACACTGACATTGGCTACAATCTACCTGGATATTAGCATAAAGTCGTGTTTGGAAGCTACATTGAAAACTAGCATAACGTATGGGAACTCCCTGGTTATCCAGACCAAACACCTGCTACCACCACGTAGCTAAAGAAAAAGCTGTCAGGGAGTCATTCACCAGGCAGTTTTTGAGTTGGTTTTGTGTTTCTCAGCACAGCTTTTATTTGTTTCTTTGTTTCAAGATTAAGTGTTAACTACAATATATTCTTGGGAGGATAAGAAAGGGAAGTCTAATATTTGGAGATTAGTCATTTAAATTATGCTTCAAGTAGCAAAAATAATGTGAGCATATCATCTATTGATAAATCTAAGTTAGAAGACAGAAAAGATGCGTCTGAAAGTAAAAATAATTCCTAAGTTGAACTGATTATAGGACAGATTGTGGGAAAGTTGTAGAGAAATCGGAACCAAAGATATCCCTAGGAGGTGTTTTCCTCTTACACTTTGGGTCTAAGAGGCATCAAAACTGAGAATTTTTGTATATTAATTATAGCAGTAATACAGGTGACAGTGCACACATATGCATTGACATTGACACATGCACACACATGCAGGGACGCCTTGCCCCATGACACACATACACACACACACACAAACACACACTCATCACATACCAAGAACTGGATAATTTGTTTTCTGCTAAATCTTCAAGAGACTGCTACAGCACCTGGCACAGAATATGTACTCAATAAATATTCATGTGCATTTAATACATTTGGAATAAGTTAATAGATGAATGACATAAATGAATGAGTGGGGAGAAAGAGAGAGAGAGGGAGACAAGAAAGAGGAAGTGGGGAGAGAGAGATGGGGAGAGAAATGTTAATCACTGACTCTAGAGCTAGGACTCAGACATGTGGAATATGGGCCAAACTTCCCATTCAATAGGCCTTTGGCTTAAAAGGAAACTCTTCAATTCTTAGAATAAAGGATGATGTGTGTATGTGAAAAAAGCAACCTGGAGTCAACATGGCCTGAAATTAGCAAGTCCAAGTAAAATCTCAGGGACTGAAGAGCCAAAATATCTACAGCATATTTGTGATGTATTCAGTTTTCCTAAATAAAAACAATCTCCCTTTTGCAGAGCCTACTTATAAAAACTGTACCAAAAATAAATCTCAGTGGGCATAATGGCTGGCCAGGCATGATGGCTCACGCCTATAATCCCAGCACTTTGGGAGGCTGAGACAGGCGGATATCTTCAGGTCAGAGACTAGCCTGGTCAAAAGGGCAAAACCCCATCTCTACAGAAAAATAAATATAAAAATTAGCCGTGTGTGGTGGCACATGCCTGTAACTCCAGCTACTCAGGAGGCTGATGTGAGAGAATTGCTTGAACCTGGGGTGGTGGAAGTTGCATTGAGCCGAGATTACACCACTGTACTCCAGCCTGGATGACAAAGTGAGACCCTGTCTCAAATAAATAAATAAATCTGCCCATAGAACTATGGAATATTGAATGTGGAATTTGGCCATTTGTAAAATATAATAAAATCATCCACTCCCACTATTTACCCATATGCATGAAATGTTGAGAACCACAGGCAGTAGCTCTCAAAAAAAAAAAAAAAAAACAAACATTCACTGGGAAAAGCCTAAAGAACCCTCACTAGGCTACAATTGTCCCATGTGGGACAAGGGGGCCATAAGATCACTGTCTTATTAAGTCAGAGGCTCCACTCATCAGCCCTACGTAAGCTAAATGCCAAGTATGAATGGAAGCAGAAATTGTAATATATAGCTTGTTGAAAAAATGTGTGACTGAGGGTTAGAAGGCAGGTTTCCATGCAGGTTGTTCTACTTAGAAGTTGTATGATTATAACCACATTATTTGATCTCACTTCCCAGTTAATCTCATGAACCCAGTGCCTGACACATAGTAAACCTTTAATGAATGAAGGAATGATGTTGTTGTGAAGATCTAACAAGAAAATGCATGTGTATATTCTCTGTAATAGTTAAATCACTATGCATATGTATAATTACTATTATTGCTAAAAATAGATTTCTATGACTCTATAATTCACTCTGAATCCTCAAAGATAGATTGTGTTAACAGGGCCATGTGGACAGAGGTTAAGCCATTGACCTGGGGTGTAAATTGCTTTTCTTCTTAAGCAGATTTGCTCAACTTGGAGCTCTAGCAACTGAATGCCAAAGAGACAGTTTCTTAGAGTCCTTTCATTGCATATGTGTGCATGTGCTGTATGTGTGTGGAGAGTGCGATGTGTGGTTATCAATAGGATAGTAATGTTTGCACTTCTCATACTACTCAAATACATTAAAAATAAAATCTCTCTTCTTATTGCCTGTTTCATTTTAATTTCTTTCCCAGCCAGCTCATCTGAGCCAAAAGGAAGGCAAGAATTTTCCACCTTGCTGCTTAATTGGCAGTCCGACATTTGGCCCCGTGCACCTCTCAGAAGTTTGGCCACAATGACTAGCCTCCTTCACGCCAAGCAGCATTAGAGCTTTGTTAACACCAGGCAGCGGCACAAGCACAGAGTCTCTTTGCGGTTACAATGTGACTTCATGTAGCTGACATCTGAGCAAAAAAAAAAAAAAAAAAAACAAAAAACACCAAAGAAGGTCTGGACAGTTTCTTTATGAACAAACAGGAAGTAAAAAGAGAGCTATGGCATGATCTGGCTTAAGAAGAAGTTGGCGCATCACCATGGATGCCGCTGATAGAATTTTGCAGGGACAATAGGGATTTGGACAAGTTTAAATTATCAACAGAATAAGTCTTGAAGCAGGCATGTGTTTTCAGTAGGTGGGGAGAAGCAAGCCTGCAAAAAACACCTTCTCCACATGTCTCCCAGCCTTGCTTTCCATTGCTTCTGCTAATATCTTCTTATCATGATCCAGTAAACAACTGCCATATCAGCCTCTGTTGAAAACTATTGAATATGCACCACTTTTGGAGAATTTGCCTGGGGAAAATGGTTGTTCTCCATGCTTCATCCACTGTTACTCCTTAGAGAGGTCTATGGATATCTGAGAGTTCTGAATCTATCATCCACAAACTAGGAAGAAGAAGAACGCAATACTTCCCACTAGTTTGGAATGCCATGTACAACTGACTAGATTAATACTGATAATTTGTGTTTGCTACAAAGAGAGAACATACAACTAGTTAGGGAAGAGATTTTGTGTGTCCAGTTTTTCTGCATGGAATCTGACAGCCCTCACTGCATTGGGGTTGCTGCAGGCCTGTCACCTGGGTCTTGCATTCTGTATTCTCTCTACTGAAACATCTTTCTGCTGGACTCTGCCAGCTCAGAATAGAACCTGAGGCCATGCTACTTTTTGTTTCATTTCATTCTCTCTGAGCTCTAAAAAGATCCTGAAAACTATAATTTTCCAGCAAAGGTCTAGGGCTGACCATCGGTAGAATGAGACACTCCATTATGTTCTGACTCTGTGCTTAGGGCTTCCTAACTTTCCACACAAGGGTCCATATTCCTCATGCTGTTTCCGTCTACCATCTTCCCTCTTCAATAAACCCCTCACATCCCTCATTTACACTAAGACAGGGGTTCCCCGTCTCACCACTGTTGATATTTCGGGCTGGATAATTCTTTGTTGTGAGTGACAGGGGTGCTGTCCTGTGCATTGTAGGATTCTTAGCAGCACTCCTGGCCTCTCCCCACCAGATGCCAGTAGCATCCTCTTTCTCCAGTGGTGACAACTAAAAATGTCCCAGACTTTCCCAAATGTCCCCCTGAGGACACTATCACTTACAGTTAATAACTAGTGCACTAAAAGGGACTTCAACAGTGGTCCTTTCTAAGGGAATTGGCAATAAGGTATGGAGACTATCTTATGATAGATGTTTAGGCATGTACTAGCTTAATGACCTTCTTTGGGATCCTGAAATCACTTAATGAGGGTAGCCCCTTCCTGAGGGTAAGGTAGCACATGTAGTCATTAGCTATTTTATCAGAATTTTATAATGGGGACTTATAATAAGCCAATCACAAGCATTTGGCCAAAATCAGTAGCTTTGTTACATGTAAAACCTCCTATTCATTGGACTTCTGGGCCAATGCACTCCCTTAAGATCCCAGAATGGCTCTCTGCTGGGCAGAAGGGATCATCTCCATTCCTTAAATGATGAATTTCCAAGCTCAAAATATACAGCTATAAAACCTAGCACCTTAGAAGCCAGTATCTGTATGCATAGGCTCATGTAATTTACAGCCCTAACCAGAAGGTGATGTCATCAACCAAGACACATATTCCACACCTCGTTTTCCCGTGGTAGGATTTACACTTTCTTGGAGAATGTTAAGTTGGCAAAGAGTGCTGAAAGTGAGCAACAAAGACCCAGGGCAGGCAAAAACTATTCCTTAAGAATAAAGTCCTATTCCTGTGTGGTTTGCGATCAGCCAAAATGTGAATGCTTCAGCATATTTTGTGCAATGTAAAATCATTTACCATGGCATGAGTGAGGGTTACTTTAAATAGAATGAGAGAAAATTACTATTGCAGTAAGGAAGCTAGCTAATGAGCTTTAGCTTGTGACAGAGTCCTTTTGGGGATCTGGCAAATTCAGGCAACTGACTGAAACTCAATATTAGGTCTACCAGTTGGCTTGGATAATCCAATTTTAGCAAACAGGAGATATGAGCATAGACCTCTGAGTCTAGGAACTCTTATGACAGTAAGTAAAAGACTCCCTCTTCTTTCATTCTGCTTGAAAAATTGTATCCTAAGGCAAATGAAAAGGACTTTACCCCCAAATTTTAAGGAGAATTAAATTTGTATATCCAGCCAATTATTTGTGCTATACACATCTACAGTCCATTCATTTCTTTGGACTTCTTAAATTTATTTATATAGCAAGTCTCCTGGCACTTATATTGATTCCAATGCTACTGATGAAGTTGAAAATGTTGAATGATGTGTTCTAAATCTTCAGAGGTTATTAAGTTCCAGCATGGATTTAAGTTTTTAAACTCAACCTCAAGAATACACACCACTTATTAATAGCTATAAAGGCTCTGCTTTTCCTCCCACTTTGAGGGTAGCTCATAGAATCACAAATCCAAAGGCACTTCATTCTTCTGGCAATGAGATTTTCCTGCTTTAAAAAAAAATTAACTCATGGTGTGACTTTTGCAAATATACAGTTTTGGGATGAATGCCTATGCAACTGAATTGGAGGCAGCACATTCTTTCTTGGCCATTTGAACTTCATATTAATCATACAGAGTAGAGTTGATGCAAGCCCAAAACACGAAACTAAAGCCCAACACTCCTTACCAAGGGGAGAAGTGCATCATGGAAGACGTAACATTATATGCCGTTGCTTGAATTTTTTTCTTAAAGCATTATATCTAAGGGGAAATGGGCAGTCACTTGCTTAGGCCTTTGATTCATGGCCATCCAACAGTCCTGCATGGATCCAGTACACTCTCTGTGCTTCTGATGCTTTTTCTCTTTCTCAGAGCCTTAATGAATACAAATAAACACAAATAAGAAAACCCCTTCTTAAACTTTAAATAAACCATATGTTTAGTAAATTTTTTCTTTTAAAATGTAGTAATGAGAGACATGGATTCTTAACAGGTTTATGGGAAAAGTGGTCTGATATTAAATCTTTTAGTACTAAAGCTCTACTGAATAAAAGCCTTCCCAAACCTTTGAGCAGCTCCACCCTGTATCCTTCAAATGCTTACTGTTGCCCAAACACATTTGCTACTCTTGGTCACTGCTGTGCAATTAATATGTTTCTCACACCATAAATCATCTTCTTCTAACCCTCAACCTCTTGGGGAATTTATGTCCAGACTGGAATCAACCATCAAGTCTTAAAGGAAGCCATCCCTAGCTTCCCAGGTGGTGATAATGGTTCTTTTCTCCCCTTTCCTCACCACATTGTATGTATCTCTGCTACGATGCTTACCTCATTACCCTGTGATTCTCCCTGTGTATTTCTGTTTCCTTCTTTGATTCATAATCTCTTCCAGGGTAGCACTTAACTGTTTCTATGTCCTCAGGGCCAATCACATAATGCTAGTCTATACATTTCTAATAAAAAGCTGGATGAATGAATGACAAAATGAATGGGTGTAAGAATTGCACTGACTACTTCTGTCTGAAGTTGACAAGGATTCTACAAATGTCCATAGGATTTTCCACCTGTTAAATCAGAGGGTAATGAAAAACATTTGGCTTCCCATGTCTTTGGCATAGCAAGGGGAAGGAGTCCAATCATGTAAGAAATGTACTTCGAACAGGACTATGTTCCCACCTCCTTAACTGTAGTTCAACTCCTTTATTTTTCTAGTTTTTAAAAGTTATTGTTTGGTAATTTTTCAGGAAAAATTTGAATCAAGCATCACATGTTAGATAAATTATTATCTAACAAGGGAGACAAAGCAAGTAGCCTCAGAAGGTCACAAAACAACTCAAGGCAAAATAGAGGCTGGTGCTGGACATCCTACCTCTTGGTTCAAGCAGCCTATGAAATGACCCATTCAAGCTCATTATTGTCCTGAGTATTTTATAGAGATTGTGGAAATGGTACTCATTAAATTACAGTGTTCTCTTTTTGAGGGGGCTCAGTAAGATGATTTTGTTTCACACATAGTTTTGTTTTTTCTTAAAGACACAGTACATAACATACTAAATCAGCTCTTCTTCTGCCTTTGGCTCCTGGGAGGTTTAGAATCTAGTAAGTGGCTCATCCCTAAGAAGTGTTTCAGATGAAGATTTACACTTTCATGTTGGTCTCATTTCTGCCAAAATTTATCTTTCTGTCTTTGTATTTCTTTTTGCTTCTTTATCAACATCTAATAATATTATCTTACCATTTTATGATACTTTTATAGACTATCATAAATCTTTTTTGAAGTAGGGTAATAGAAAATATTAAATATTTACATAAAAACAGAATGACTAGTCAAAATATTTAAAAACTACTATGGCATTGTCATTGACCAATCGGTAAGGTGGAATTCATTAACAACAAAAATGTCAAAATAGTGCATACAGGCAGAACATCATTCTTGCTTATAAATAAATTAAATACCATAGTTCACAGTAGGAGACCAAGCATTCAGCTTGAATTCAGAAGACCAGAAAAAGCAGCACCAACCAGGATGAAAAGTACTAAACCAAAGGTCAAAAAGATCCCAGTTGGAAAGCTTGGTTCTGCCTGTTACTCACTGTTTGAGTTTCAGTTTTCTCATATGCAATAAAGGAAAAGAATACTTTCCTATTTCACAAGGCTGGTAGAGAAGATATATGAGTTTTTGGCAAAAAAAAGAAAAAAGAAAAAATACTGTATGATATAGAAATGCCATACCCCCTACAATTATTTGGGCTTTTCAGTGAAAATTTTCAATGAGTCACATCATTTTCTTCCAATTTTTTCATACAGGAAAACATGGTTATATATTATAAATGCCTCTACCTTAGTCTCTCTGGTCTTTGGATAATCTTGCATATTGCTACTGAAATTTGGGAGTTCCTCCTCCATACAGCAGAGTAGATACAGAGTGCTGCCAGGAGCTGCCACCCTGAGCACAGAAGGCTACTCTGCAGCAGCCTTGGGACTGGGCCACATGGCCATAGAAGCAGCCAGAAAGGAAGAAAGGGTGGGGTGAAGCCAAAATTCAAGCCAGGCATTTTCAACTTCAGCCCTTAGCTAGTGAGGTCATTTTCCATGTAATCTCTGTTTCCACTAGATTCAATGTCTCTTAAATGTTGAACACACAAAATCTGAACCCATCCCATGAGCCATCCAGACCAACACAATGATGCTTGCATTCCTGGCATTGTCATCTGGATCAGGAATTAGTGTGAGTCCAAGATTCAAGCCTGGGCTTGAGGTTACACTTTGACCACCACTTCCATGAGTGTCTTGTACTTAGAGAGGATAGCCCTGGTTTCCAGAGAGTACACTCCATCATATCTCTAAAAGGCAGAAGTGTCTGGGGGTTCAGAGACTGGGCTAGAATTCCAGCTCTACCACGGACTTCCTGTGTGGCTTTTGCCTTCAGTTTCCTCCTATGTTGTGTGGGAATAATAAGAGAACCTACTTCAGAGTGATAGCAAAGATCTAATGAGCTCATTCATGTAAAGCATTTGAAATACTATATGTGGAAGCATTCTGTAATGTAAAATATAATTATCAATGCTCACACATGTATACTCTCCTATTAAAATTATACAGTTTCAAACTCTAACATCGCAAGGCTGCTACTGATTCTACATGCTCATTTTCCACCCTTTCACAAAAATTATTTATCATAACCACACCAAATCCTTGTTTTCAAGAGATATTTCATCCAGGTAGTCTTTCCACATCTGTTTCTCAAATGAGACAGATGTCTATTACTTTATGTCTTATTTCTTGCATAAAAATAAAGTCTGCCTCCTACTTGGATTGTGAGCTTTCTGAGGACAGGGCCTATATTTCTCCATACCCATATCACCTCCAGCATAACCTGACTAAGAGTTGGTGCTCAGAAAATGCTGAATAAAATTATAAAAGAACAAGTTTAATGTTTTGGGATACTGCGCACAGGCTTGTGAGGTGTCTACCAACATAACGTGATTTCATAGATGCAAGGAAAAATATCTGATATTCCCAAATGCTCATTCACGGCAGTTGGGCTAATTTCTTAAAGTTCTACTCATTCATTTATTCATGTGTATTAGTCCATTTTCATGCTGCTGATAAAGACATACCCAAGACTAGGCAATTTACAGAAGAAAGAGGTTTAATGGACTTACAGTTCCACATGGCTGGAGAAACCTCACATTCATGGCAGAAGGTAAGGAGGAGTCAAGTCACATCTTACTTGGATGGTAGCAGGCAAGGAGAGAGTTTGTGCAGGAAAACTCCTCTTTATAAAACCGTCAGATCCTGTGAGACTTATTCACTATCACGAGAACAGCATGGGAAGGACCCACTGCCATGATTCAGTTACCTCCCACTGGGTCCTTCCAACAACACGTGAGGATTCAAGATAAGATTTGGGTGGGGACAGAGCTAAACCATATCATTCCACCCCTGGCCCCTCCAAATCTCATGTCCTCACACTTCAAAACCAATCATGCCTTCCCAACAGTCCCCCTTTCTCCCTATGAGACTGTAAAATCAAAGCAAGTAAGTTACTTCCTAGATACAGTGGGGGTACAGGCATTGGGAAAATACATCTGTTCCAAATGGGAGAAATTGGCCAAAACAAAGGGGCTGCAGGCCTCAAGCAAGTCTGAAATCCAGCAGGGCAGTCAAATCTTAAAGCTCCAAAATGATCTCCTTTGATTCCAGGTCTCAAATCCAGGCCACACTGATGCAAGAGGTGGGTTCTCATGGTCTTGGGCAGCTCCACTCCTGTGGCTTTGCAGAGTACAGCCTTCCTCCCAGCTGCCTTCATGGTCTGGCATTGAGTGTCTGCAGCTTTTCCAGGCACACAGTGCAAGCTGTTGGTGGATATACCATTCCAGGATCTGGGGAACAGTAGCCCTTTTCTCACAGCTCCATTAGGCGGTACTTCAGCAGCAACTGTATGTGGGGGCTCCAACCCCACATTTCCCTTCTGCACTGTCCTAGCAGTGGTTTTCCATGAGAGCGCTGCCTCTGCAGCAACCTCCTGCCTGGATATCCAGGTGTTTGTTTCCATACATCTTCTGAAATCTAGGCAGAGATTCCCAAACGTCAGTTCTTTGCACCTAAAGGCTCCACACCACATGGAAGCTGCCAAGGCTTGGGGCTTGCACTCTCTGAAGCCACAGCCTTAACTGTGCCTTGGCCCTTTTAGCTGAGGCTGGAGCAGCTGGGACACAAGGCACCAAGTCCCTAGGCTGCACACAGCATGGGGCACCTGCGCCTGCCCCCTGCTGTCCTGCCCATGAAACCATTTTTTCCTCCTAGGTCTCTGGGTCTGTGATGGGAAGGGCTGCCATGAAGACTTCTGACAGGCCTTGCAGACATTTTCCCCAATGTCTTGAGGATTAACGTTTGGCTTCTCGTTACTTATGCAAATTTCTGTAGCAGTCTTGAATTTCACCTCAGAAAATGAGATTTTCATCTCTATCACATTATCAGGCTGCAAATTTTCCAAACTTTTATACTCTGCTTCCCTTATAAAATTGAATGCCTTTAACAGCACGTAAGTCACATCTTGAATGCTTTGCTCTTAGAAATTTCTCCCACCCAATACCCTAAATCATCTCTCTCAAGTTCAAAATTCCACAAATCTCTAGGGCAGGGGCAAAATGCTGCCAGTCTCTTTGCTAAAACATAACAAGAGTCACCTTTGCTCCAGTTTCCAACAAGTTTCTCATCTCCATTTGAGGCCACCTCAGCCTGGATTTCATTGTCTATATCATCATCAGCATTTCAGTTAAAGCCAATCAACAAGTCTCTAGGGAGTTCCAAACTTTACTACATTTACCTGTCTTCTGATCCCTTCAAACTGTTCCAACCTCTGCTTATTACCCAGATCCAATGTCACTTCCACATTTTTGGGTATCTTTT
Organism: Homo sapiens; assembly: GCF_000001405.40. NCBI lineage: Eukaryota > Metazoa > Chordata > Mammalia > Primates > Hominidae > Homo > Homo sapiens. The sequence goes on from NC_000002.12 coordinate 19,117,764, forward strand.
CAGCAGTGCCCCACTCCACTGGTACTGATTTAGTGTATTAGTCTGTTTTCATGATGCTGATGAAGACATACCCAAGAATGGCCAATTTACAAAAGGAAGAGGTTTAATGGACTTACAGTTCCATGTGGCTGGGGAGGCCTCACAATCATGGTGGAAGGCAAGGAGGAGCAAGTCACATCTTACATGGGTGGCAGCAGGGGAACACCTCTTTATAAAACCATCAGATTTTGAGAGACTTATTCACTATCACAAGAACAGCATGGAAAGGACCCACCATCATGATTCAATTACCTCCCACTAGTCCCTCCCACAACACATGGGAATTCAAGATGAGATTTGGGTGGGGACACAGCCAAACCATATCATCATGCAAAGGCCCAGAACTGTGTTGGAGTCCAGGACTATAAAACTGAATCAAACAGGACCGCTACTCTACAACAGCCTTCTTCTGGGCTGATGGTTTTAAAACCCTATTAAGTTCAGACAATATATACACAGGAGGTATGCAATGGTTGATTGTCTGTGTATCCCCAAACTCATATGTTGAAATCCTCATCCACAAGGTAATGGTATTAAGAGCTAGGGCCTTTAGAAGGTGATTATATCATGAGAGCAAGCCCTCATAAATGGAACCAGTGCCCTTATAAGAGAAGCCCAAGGGAGTGCATTCATCCCTGCTACTATGTGAGGAAACAGCAAGAAGGTGTCCCTCAGAAAGCTGGCCCTCACCACAGGCTGAATCTGCTGGCCCCTCGAACCTAGATTTCCAACCTTCAGAACTGTGAGAAATACATTTATATTGTTTTTTAAGCCATCAAGTTTATGGTATTTTACTATAGCAACCTGCATGAACCAAGACAAGGTGCTTCTCTAACTGTCCTTCAAGCCTATGTAACATGGATGGAGCATGTCAAATACATGTTGGCTGGGGGCCTGAGGGAGAAGCAGGAAGATCCGAAGGGCCCTGGAATCTGAGGAGGGCTGGGGAAATGATGAGCACCAGGAAGAAAAAGACACAGAGGGAGGATATCAAGTTAGGAAGAGTCTGCCCAAGACACATCTTTAAAGGAGCTGGCCAAAAGAGAAGTCTTATTAATAACCAGACTCAGTATGAAAAGGATCTGAAAATAATCATTCTCTAAAAGAAAGAGCCCATCTTTGAGTTAAGTAGACCTGGTTTTGAATCTCATTCTTTCACTTAATAGCTATGAAAATACGGACAAATCCTCAGTCTCTGATCTTCACTTTCCTCATCTGTACAATGCAGATAGCCTCCAAGTGTTTTTTTGTGATGATTAAGTAAAATATAATATCAACCACTGACATTGTATGTGCTTAATAAATGTTGTGCTTTCCTCCTCTCCTGCTTAGGTACAAAGCTATTACTGTGTTTGGATGCATTTCTAGTCCAATGGCTCTGTAAGTGTCAGAAAAACATCTATGGATATTTTTTCAGAAATCTGGTCACATACAAATGAGAAAAGCAGGGGCTGCATGTGAAGCAGACACTGTATGCTTGGGGCAGGACCTGGGACGGACTTGGGTCTGCAGTATATAAGGCTGGCCTCTCCCAGAAATGCCCTCTCTAAAACTGGGACCCAGCAGAGACATGGAGGGATTCCCTTTAGGATAAGCCCGGCCCCTCCTTGCAGATGAAACTTCTGAATGCACTGTCCTTGGCAGTTCCAGGCACAGGGAGCACTGGATCATGGGACAGCACAGGCCCCCTGACTCCAGCTCCTGAAATGTGGCAGCCAGAAGCTGGTCCCCCTTCTATTGCAGAGTCTGAGCTGACACTGTGGACAGGAACATGGGTGGGGAGGTGTGGGTGGGCTATGCTTCCTTCAAACATGCAACTTCAAAGTCTTGGAGGATGTTGCTTGGCAGGGAAGAGAATCAGGGGCAACTGGAACGGTGATGGAATTTCCAATTATAAAAGGTCCCATTCAGAGCTGCATGCCCTGTTGCACAACAAGGGAACAAGGAGACATTTGATGGCATTAAAAGGCCTTGAGCTCAAAACAAAGAGACACAACATTCAAAGAGACACAACTTTCTCTGCTTTGTCTTCTGAGCCTTGAGCCCTGTCTGGTGTGATGTTAGGTTATAAAAATAAGCAACAGCTCATCCCACTCCGCCTTGACAGAAGGCTTGCTTCTGAACACAGACCTGAAGGCAGTGCACTCTGGGCTGGGTTTCCCCAAAAGCTGAAGCATACATTTAATTGGGATATTGGAGGAGCTGGATTAGATGCCCAGCTGTCCACTGTAGAAACACAAACTCTCTGAGACACATCTCCCTAATCTGATATCCAACCAATGACCAAATTCCTAATGACTCTTGCACCAGCCCCACCTTCATCCCCATTGCCATTGCCCACCTGGCAGCTACTGCTGTTCCGAAGAGGCCTGAGGGGCACAGTTACTAAGATTATGTTTGAAAATATTTCATAGGAGTCCAAAATCACAATGCCATCCTAAAACAAATGTTTATTAACCAGCTATTCCATCAGGCTGGTTGAGAAAGAGCGTGTTATACATACATCTCATGATTTATTCTTCAGAGCAAACTTATCTGGAAGAGGGAACAGAAACTCAAAGAAGTTGTCTAAGGTCCAGTACCAGTATTGTCAGAGCAGCGAATTGTCATCCACCAGATATCATTGTATTCTTCTGTTTCAGCTCCTCTCATACAGCGTTTGCCTATGAGTATAGTGTTTGTCTCACTTTATGAGTCCTCTTCACTCGGTGGTGATCATGTGGAGGACAGAATCGTGGAGGACAGAATCATGGCAGATAGTGCTTGAAACCCCTAGAGTAACCCCAAAAGATCTGGGCACAGAGCTTTTGAAAACTTGATTTTAAAAAGAATTTAATATTTGTACTAAATATATACATATTGATCAGTATCTGAATATGTTAATTTCTACATGCACCATTTGCCCAATATTTCATTTCTGATTTAGAAATTTTAGAAAGCACAATATGTGTGCATCTTTAGAAGTATAATTGTAGTCAGCACAATGTAAATTTTTGAAGAGTAAAAACATTTATACTTCAGGAACACAGTATCCCTGGGCAGAGACAAAAGGTACTTACATATATGCCAACTGACAAATGGAAAAATAAGGTCACCAAAGAAACTGTTACAATGGGAATCTTGTGTTTCTGATGTACATGTTCAGTTGGAGACATGAAATTTTCAAGAATCTCCGTCTACAGGAATGATGCCAGCTCTTCTCTCCTGCACATCCTCTCTGTGGATTAATCATCAGGCCCTGGTAACCACAATGTGACCACTATGTGAGGCGCCTTCTTCCCCAAAACAATGAAGTTCTGTCCGATTGTCTTTGGGAGGCATTTACAGCTCGAGGACATTGCTCTGTTTCATTGAAAGTACTCAGCGCTAGCGTCTTGGGACATGGCTGGAAGGGGTGTTGAGCCCGATTGGGTAATAACAGATGTTTCAGTGGGACACTGAGACATTCATACTGCAGGGCACCCAGCAGGGACACATTTTGAAAGGTGAGGAAAAGAAGAGGGAGCTTCACAGAGCATAGTGTGAGCATGCAGACCTATTACTCTGATACAGCCATGAGTGTCACAATCCCAAGTCCCCAGTGGGGTCTTCCCTATATAAAGGCTACATGAGGGAAAGAAGTCCAACTGCTAGATCTTCAACTCTGTTTCAATAACTGAGGAGATAAAATAGTTTCTGTTCATCTGGCTGCATAGGGTTCTGGAATGCAGTAGCTCTGCCCGAGGGGTCACTGCAGAGCACACAGAGGAACATTGTCATTCCCAGAAGAATGTGGCAGCCGCCCTGCACAGTAGGCTTGCCCCCCTCCACCCCCATATCTAAGAGCAGCAACCAAGAGTTCTTAAAATAATAAACAGCTGGCTGTGGGCTCGCTACACAAACTCCACAATTCCGGTACAATTCGACTTGACTGAACAGGTCTTAGACCACAGCACAGGAAACTCCAAGGTCCAAAGGCCTCCCACCCTTGCCCACCATGCCTGGGCACCCTTTAGAATGATTGTCCCAAAGCTTTGTGTCTGGGAGAGTCTCTTCTAGGAAGCAGCCAAGTGCAGAGGAATTCAAAGGCCTCTGTCTTGCTCTCTGTCTTCAGAGTATGGAACTACAAAGGTGGCCGGGGCTCTGAGTCTCTGCAGACCCTCAGAGCTGAAAGCAGAGACAACATCAGGGGAAGATGAGACAGAGCAGGAATCTAGATTCGGCTTATAGCAAAGACCCCTCTCCTGAACTTCTAGAGTGATACTGGGGCAAGCTGACAGTTACAGACTTATCTGCAGTCAGAAAAGCGAAAACAACAGAAGATGGGGAATCAAAGAAGCTGAAATTTGTTTCTGGCTCTGTCATCTGCAGATCATGTCACTCTGGATAGATTATTTAACTTTTCTGTGCCTCAGTTTTTCCATCTATAAAATGGGGATAATAGCAAACTTGTCCTGGGTGCCATGCCCATAGTAGATAACTAATAAATATGAATTATTTAATTAATTAGTGATTGAATGACTAGTACCTACCTCAAAGTTGCTTTGAGGATTAACTGAGGTTAATCTGTGACACTTGTTTCATAAATGGTAAGTCGTGCAGCATTCAGAAAGCACTGCAAAGAAACTGACCTCACTAAGAAGCCCTGAGAAGGGTTTCACAAAATGTGGGGTTTCACAAAATGAGAGCTGCTGAACATTCATTAAATGATATATTAACAGGTATTCAGCAGGGGAAAGTTTCCATGCAACAATATTCAAAACATTGTGAGATAAATTTAGATGGGTTTGGTCCTATATGACTTCTCAGGGTGTGTTGTAAATTTCCAAAAGAAATAAGATGCAGCTTTTTCTAAGCCCACTTGACTGTTGAATCCTTTTCACAAGGTTCTCAAGAAGTGGTGATACATTAGAAGACCCGGCTGGGGAAATGTACTTGTCTGTTCCCGCATTGCTCTAAAGAAATACCTGAGACTGGATAATTTATAAAGAAAAGAGGTTTAATTGGCACATGGTTCTGAAGGCTGTACAGAAAGCATGGCTGGGGAGGCCTTAGGAAACTTACAATCATGGTGGAAGGCGAAGGGAAAGCAGGCACATCTTACATGGCCAGGGCAAGAGTAAGAGAGAGAAGGGGAGAGGGGTCACACACTTTTAAACAACCAGATCTCATGAGAACTCTATTAGGAGAACAGCACCAAAGGAGGAAATTTGTCCCCATGATCCAGTCACCTCCCACCAGGCCTTACCTCCAACACTGGGGATTACAATTTGACATGATATTTGGGCGGGGACACAGAATCAAACCATATCAGGAAATGACTGTTCTAGCCAACCCTTGGGAAGAAGGAGGTCCCACAGAAGCCCCACTATGAAATAACCACCTTGTTTTGGGGTTGTGTATATATTTGCCTCCTTTTCTTTGCCAGACATTCTCCCAAGGCTACAGCCAGTGCAGTGTATTATAGGCAATCAGCATGATATGCTTAAGCCTAAATTGTCTTTCATTTGTAAAATGGAAACAAATATTGAGAAAGAAGACACATCCTCCAGATCTTTGAGCTCCCATCCCACCAATATCTAGGGTGCCTTCCACTGGTGGCAGACTGTGCACACAACTTTAGCACCTAAGTCAGAGCCACATCCACAGAGGTTAAAGTGAAGGACCTGGGTAACAATAACAGCCCTACTTCTACGAGATGGAAGAGCTAAGGTGAATGAGCCCTATTATTTTCTTGGGGTCCGTGACACTGGGAGAGCCAGCAAAAGTCCATGCTGGTGTCATGGATATACCCTGCAGAGGAACGTAGAAGAAGCCAGAAAAAAAAAAAAGGCATCAGGACTGTCTTCTCCAAAATAACCCACTCTGCTAGGTCAATCAACTGGTTCCAAGAACCAGCAGCTGGTGATAGATGTTTGTTCATGCTTATCTTCATATATAGGAACAGACATTTGCAATTAGCCCATGGCAGATTTTTGGAGCCATTCATGAACTGCCAAGTGATATCTGGCATTGGCATTTCCTCAGCCTTCTGGAAATAAAGCTTCCCTTTTGGGGTGGTGACCTGATTTTTCTGGGGATCAGAGAGGATGTTAGCAAACTGGTTTATCACCTCAGACAGAGAGATTTTGTCCATGGAGCTGTAACAACTCAGTGACAAGTTCAAGGACGCCCCTTCCTGAGGAGCTCAAGGCATAAGCCTTGCCTTGGATCAGCCATCCTGAGCCTGTCCCCAAAGTCCTGTCACCCCACAGGCAATCCACTTGGATTCAAAGGCTTCAAGGTCATCTCAAGGACTTGCTCTCTTGCGATGCAAAAAGTGAAAGACAAGAATAATACCCCAGAAGAAATGCATGCATTCTTCTTTAATGCCAGCTAGAAAGCTCTAATACACCTGGGTTTGAAAACAGCTTTCCATTACTCTCTGACATATTCATTCAAAACTAATGACTCAAAGCTCTCCTGCACTAGATGTTTGTGATCAGAAGATGAATAAGACCTGGTTCGTGCCTACAAGGACTCTGCAGCATGCTGGGAGAGATGAACGTGCAAGTCAGTACAGTCCACAGTGGTGAGTAACTTCATAGAAAAAGCACAACCCAGAGAAACTATCTGAATCTAGTCTGAGGGACGCATTGCTACAACACGTCCTTAGCTAAGGCTCGAGGAGGAAAGAAGTTGGCCAAGCAAAGAAAGGGCATGAGGAGAGATGGTTTCCAGGCAAAAGGAAAAAGAAAGAAGGCAGGTCCTTGTCCCTTTTGCTTGTTTCTACCTGTATTAGTATTCTATTGCTGCCATAGGAAACTATCACAAATTTGGTGGCTTAAAGCAACACAAATTCATCTTTGAGTTCCAGAGATCAGAAGTCTGACAGGGGTCTCACGGGGATACCATCAAAGTGCCAGCTGGGCTGCATTCCTTCTGGAGGTTCTAGTGGAGAATTCATTTCCTTGGCTGGTGATCTTCACTCAGCAATCGAAACCCTCTGACCTTTCTTTCTGCAGTTACTTCTCCTTCTCTGACTCTCATTCACCTGCCTCCCTCTTCCACTTATGAGGACTCTTGTGATTACATTGGACCCCCCAGATAATCCAGGGTTATCTCCCCATCTCGAGATCCTTAACTTAATTGCACCTGCAAATTCTCTTTGGCTATATTCACAGACTCTGGGGATTAGGACATGCACAACTTTGTAGAGGAGGTGAAGGGATTATTCTGAATACCACACTTTCTATGGCCCTAAATTGTTCCACCTACAAAATGGGTTGGATCTGATGGCCTCCAAAAACCTGTTCAGCTCTGCCAGTGGGTAGAAAAGTGTTACCCAGAGACTAGAGTCTGGCAGGTCAAGTCTGGAGACAGCAACATGACTCCATGCCAGATGTGTCTTAACAATTCAAGTGGCCTTTGATTTCCGGTCTTTGGTACAAGACAGCAAACCCCAGGATATGCCCAGCCATGCATACTTACGCCCATGATTCTGTAGCCTTCTCACTGGTAGAGACTCCGGGAAGTTGCCTTCTCCGCATCTGGAGCAAAAAGAAGTCCAAAGAAGATTCTCTTCCTTCATTACCTTGAAAGCCCTGTTCTAAAATCCCCCAGGTCTCTAGAATGAAAAAAAAAAAAAAAACTTTTTAAATATCCCAATCGAATTCATTTTTAACTGCTCCCCCACCAAATTCACTTAAGATTTCATCAAAACCCTATTCAAATCGTTACAGTAAATGTGATAGTAAATTAAAAGCTTGTAGCACAAAATTAAGCCAAGTCAACAACCATTTTCACTGAAAAGATGGCTAATTCCCATTGGTAAAGGGGGAGAATTAAATGAGTAGTGGAAAATAACATTGCCTGATTAGGAAAAAATAAAAATAAAACCTAAAATGAGAGTCTGGGACTTTGAGCTCAAGTTTTAATTTGGCCCCTATATTATAAGGTCACTGTGAATAAGCCCCTCTCTTTTTGTGTTCTTGGTTTTTCTTCTCCTGTTAAAGAGAGAGAGAGTGAAAGAGAGAGAGAGAGAGAAAGGAATTAAGTTGAGGCCCTTTAGGCTTAGCATTCCAAAACTAGGAGGAGGGAGGGGAGAATATTTCTCTTAAGAGTGATTTAGGAATAGGTTTTTCTTTCTGAGTCTGCAAGTCAGAAGAAAACAAGTGATGTGAACTCCCCAGCAAACTTCCGAGAAGTACTGTCTCCATTCGCACAGGTCTAAGATGCTATCAGTACAGAACTTTCCACCTTTGCTAACATTCCTTATCTTCTGTCATCTGCACAGTGACTGTGAAAAATGTTCTCAGTGGGTGTTTCTGATTCATTTTCGTGATGGTACCATGATGTCTGAAGAAGTTAAAGTTTAAACTCTTTCCCTTCCCATTGGTCTTTACAACTCTGTGGATCCTGCCAGTAACTGGGCCAATTCCTAAAGCCTGAGGTTTCCCAGAAAGGCAGATCTGAGCAGGGCAAGTGCTGTATTGCTAAGGAGAAAAGTCATTGGTTTTTAAATGGTGCTCTTAAAATGGTGCTCTTATAAGGCGGCAACAATGCTACCCAGCCTGTCGATGTCTCCATATCCAGCTGGTGTTATGAAGATCTCTATCTAGGAATAAACTTCCTCAAAGATAAAACAACAGGCTTGAGCTTTGGAGACAATAGTAATATTGTCTTGAGCATTTGAGACACTACTCCGAAAGGCACTTAGAGAACACAGTGTATTCTTCTCGTTAATTCCAATACAATTTATGTATTGTTCAGGAACTAGCCCTGAGCAAAGTTAGAGAAGAGTCAGTATTCGGGGTCCTTGAAAACATTAAAGTCAACCTGCAATCCTCAGGGGCTAAAGAGAATTTTTTTTAGTGTGACATATTTTATAACGTTGTGACTGCCACACAGGCAGGGATTCAGGGTGCTTCCCAACTTTCAGTCTCAGCTTCAAACACACCTGAAGTATATGCAGGTGTGCATGTGTGTAGCATGTGTGTGCACGAGTGCTGGCCTCTTTATAAGTTTGCATGTGTTTGTGTTGGCGTGTGTCTGTGTACAAAGTGTGCCTGGCTGTGAGCCTGGCTTTGTGGTGGGCAGGGTAGGGACTTGTTTTGAGTGCAGAGGAAGTGAATGTCAGAAACGGAGCATACTGGGATACTAGGATACACATGCCTGCACAGGTGTGAGTGTGTAGAGAGATGCATGCACATCAGCTGTGTCGAGTGTGTTTTCATGTATGGAGAAATGGGGTTTTATGGATACGTATGACTGTAGAGAGGCCTACAGAATTACCAGTCTTTATGCTCAACAGAAGACAATGCTGGTCCAACCCAAACCCCATCTGCTCTCAGGCTCCCTCATTTATTGCAGAGTTTTTTCTGAACACTTACTAAGTGTGAAGTCTTTTGTTAGATACTGGAAAAGAGTACAGAAATAGGAGATAAGATTTATACTCTTAAAGAGGTCACCACACAGTTTGAAAGACCAGATACACACACTTGGACAGTAGATCATCCCCCAACAGAAAACAGCCTGGTCAAGGCAACATTGTCTGAACAAAGCTGCCCAGATACCTGTTACCTTATTTCAGGATATCTCAACAAAACTTATAGCAGCAACAAAAGGAATATTTTCACCATGCTGAGAGAATTCTCTGATATCAAATTGTTCAGTTAATATAGACTCTGTCATGTAAGACAAACTGTAAATAACATATTTACCAGTTATATGTATGAGATGAACTTTGGATTTATCCTAATTAAGGAACTGAAAAGAATGTTGTAAAGATTAAATAAATTCTAATGATGATGATAACCATGTTGACAATGATAGTTCAGTAAGATTAGTCTAGATATTTATTACATCTTCAAATGTGCTGGGCATTGGATTAAGTGAGTGCAAAGATTTGCATGATGAGTTTGGATGGTGTCTGTGTAAATAGAACACTCTGAAAAGAAATGCGAAGAAGTCTATAAGGAGACAGAGAGGAGTGCTGGCAGAGAAAGAGGCAGGTGTGAGGACCTGGCTCACTTCCCACAGGACCTGTGCTTCCCAGGGAGCCCTCCAGTGACCCCGTGCTTTGCCAAGTGCCCCAGCACAGTGCTGTTAATTGAGTAAGGCTGAAAAGGAGGCCACTCCTGGGAGACTGCTTTTGTATGAGTGGTGGTCATCCTTGCGGCTAAGGTGGTTATTCAACCCCTAGTCCATTCTACTCCCAGCTCACTGCTTTAGCAAAACCTGGCCTGAAACACAAACCCCCCTATGTCTTATAAATAACTTCATATGGTGTCACTTTCAAAGTCAGCACAGATTTTAAGTTTGCCACAGCATTTCCATGAGTATCTACACTAATAACCAATCTCCTCAAATTGGTAGTTCTCTGAGGTTACCCAAAACTTTCATATTCACAGTTTAATTCATCTGAACAATCAACCTTTGAGGTAGGAAGAATTAGGCAACCCAAGATTATTCTAGGGCAGATCAACCCATGTGAAAAGAGTAAAATTAATATTTATTCATTAAACATCTACACATTGGAAGACACCTGTTGCTTTAAACTGGCCGATAACCAACAGGTGACAGTCATTGTATCTTCTGCAGGACAGGAGGACCCAATCCCTTGATGGTGGAGCAGGTCGATTCTGGAGCAGACTGACACTCTGAGCTGCCTTGCTCAGGTGGAGGGGAGGGATTGGCCACCCAGCTAAGGTGATGGCTGTGGGTTCTATACCAAGAACCAGGGCCACGCGAGGTCCTAGTTTAATATTCCACTGAAGGAGACATGACTGAGAATTGAACTGCAATAACAATAAACTTTGGTTATTTTCACCAAGAAATTTACATATTGTTAATGAGTATAATTATTAATAAAATCACTATGCTTATTTTTATATTACTTCTTATTTAAATCAGTTTAAAAGAGTTTTGTTTAACTTCTGTTGTAATTATTTTTTTAGTAGTTCAAGTTTTTCCTGAACTCCTAGGGATAGGTTTCTAAGTATGTGTGTGGATGTTTATTGACCTAGACTATTGATCAAAAAAATAAATCTAAGATGAATCCAGGGTGTCACAGGTAAATTAAGCTACACTTACGAGGTTGTTTGCTATGCTGTGTGAGTCCCTGAACTGAAGGTATTGCTGCTTTTTATAGATTACAGTTGCTTGGTTTCTAGATTGTTGAAATTGTGATATGCAAATAAATTAAATCAATTTAATGCTCATTCCTTTGACTCTCTAGACACTTTAAAAAAATGTAACACTAGATGTTAAGGGTTCTCACTACAAAATAATAAGTATGTCAGGTAATATATATATTAATTGGCTGGATTTAGCCATTTCATAGTATATACATATTTCACAACATTATGTTGTACGTGATAAATAAATATAAATGTGTTAATTTTAAAAAATATAAATTAACTTTTGAAAAGGTAACACTAGCTGATTTCTTAGGGAATGTCATATTGGGGAAGATAATGTCTAAGTCACTTTTATTCCCACCCACTAAATATTAATATAGTTCCCTTTCTTAAGTTGTTATATCTGGACTTTTTTCTGCTTCACAGTTTTCTCACTGTCTTCCTGGCACTGCCACTTCTAAACTTGTGCTCTGTCTTGGCCAACAAAGGCCAAGAGTATCCTCAAAACACAAATCGCTTGAGGAGTTTAGACTTGATTTCCTCCTCTGCAGAAAAAGGCCGCTGGATTTTCTTGCAACAAAATATGGCATGAAAAAGGAGAAATTTAACTCTGTTACTCTGTGTTGCTGTGTGTAGGAAGAGAACATTATCTATAGAAAAAACCTCTAAATAATAACTGTGTTTGAGAGGAGAGTGGTATGTAGAAAGCACTTTGGTTAAGAGTCAGCAGATAAAAATAATAGTCTTCTAGAACTTTCTCTGGCACAGATTTTTCCTCTGTTAAAGAAAGTGTTCTAAACATCCTTCTAGGCTTGACATGCTATGCTGTTCCCATTCTATTCTCAATTTGTAGTATGTGATAAAAGACTTCTCTGAATCATGGTGTCTTCAATTGTCTAGTTTCAAAGACGAGACAAGTGGGAACTCTTTGCTAAAGAAGAAGCATCTAATGCAAACAGAGATCTTACTGAGTTTCTCTGCATCTTAGGGTATTTCATAATAAAGTAGATGAGAGAACCTGAGCAGTGTAGGAAGGGCTGTCATTGAGTCCACAATCACAGGATCACATTTAAAAACATGTCCACTCTCTACCTCAACCCCTCCCAAATCAATCATCAAAACAAGGCAATATGTATACAACTTTTAAAACTTTGACATAATAAATGATGCCCATAACTTTAAAGGATCATGTATATTCCATTTGGGACATTAGAAAATATTGGGATAAATCTTCTCCTTATTTTGTAGGTTTTAAATATCCTTCAGGGAGAAGTTCTTGTTTGCCTTTGTGAAGCACTGTTGAGGCTTATTCATGGCTCAGAGATGAGGAGGAACGTCTCCATCTCATCAGATGATTTATGATGCTGACTTGAACATTTCCAAATGAGATATTTTTAAAAAATTTTTGCCAGCTTATTTTTTTCATCCCTCTCCTGTTAGCAACTGAGATTCTGAATTCAGTGAATATATGTTAGACACTGTTTACTTGAACTTTCTAAAACAAACTGTTCATCTTGGGTGTAACAGAAATGCTCTCTTTTTATATTACTGTTCCCATGTCCCTCTGCAGAGACTCGCCAACACAAACACCTACTTACAGGGCTGCACTCCACCACTGTAAGCTCTTTGGTGACTCTGCCATTGGATTTCAGTCGATAAATTTGCATTTAGCGCTTAATTTGTTCAGTATGCCTTACTAATTTGGCAATATTTATTTTGGCCCAGAAAGCAGAAGGCAGCTAAGTTCTCTTATTTTGTTTGGGGTGTGTGTGTGTGTGTGTGTGTGTGTGTGTGTGTGTGTATGCATGCGTGTGTGTGTGTGTTTTCATTTTGATAAAAGGATTTGAGATATGAAAAAGTTACAATGTCATGGACAGGACTGGTTTCCTGTTTATGAGTCACCATAAATATGAAAGGTGCTGGGTGACATTTCTCAGCTGAGGGAGCCCATGCAGCCCTGTGTGGAAAGCAAACCCTCGAGCAGGGTGGTCTTGAGGTGACTTGCTGACCTTGTATAATGTCAAGAGGAATTATTGTTAAAGTACAGTAGCCAGATACCACACACACACACACACACACACACACACACACACACACACAAACATAACCCTAATGATTTTTCTCACTCTTGTTACTATAGAGATGAAAGTATTTACTGTAATATCTTTGTGTTCTCAAAATCAACTTTCATCTCTGTGTAAAATGTGGCAGGAAGTACCTCCATGTTGTGTAAAATGTGGCAGGAAGTACATTCATGTCTGCCACTTTTTTGTTTGCTCGTTTAGTCTGTGTGTCTTTTCATAAGGCTCCCTCACAGAAACAAGTCCTCCTACACAGCGTCACACCCAGAACATTTTTCTATTAGATATGATACTGGAGCTCTGGGGCCCCTTCTCTTTCCTTCAGAGAAATGCTGCAGTTCACTCTGCCCTGCCCAGGTCATGAGGTATTTCTGTTAAAGCAGTCTCTGAGAAGACCAGAGCTACCAGACTCTGACCCTCTTAAGACTGGTGTGCTAGCAAAGGGTTAGCAAAGAGTGGTCCCGCTGTTTTTGTTTTTCTCTTGCTTTCTGGGACATAGTGAGCAAATAGAAGTTCCCCTAGAGAGGAAGCTGTTCTCACTCAAAGGCAAACAGCTTTGATGCCTGAGATTGTGTGAAAGTTGCAGAAGAGATGAGCCTATGGCATCAGACTATGTCCATCTAACTCAGGTCTTGTTTCTTCCAACTCCCAGCTAACCAGCATTTAGTGGTTTGTCTGGGCTATTGATACTGTACTTTTTGGAAAAAAAAAATTGGCTTGAATCATGGGCAGCAGTACTATCGAGGCCATTACTTTCCTCACCCAGATAAGATATTGCCCATAAAATTTTCCTTAAGATTTTTTTTGTTGTTTGCTTGTTTCTCCATTCTGACTCCACCATCTAAAAAACCTGGTTATTCTGACAACCTGGGGCACAATAGGATGATGTGGTCCTAAACTATTAGAGCTAGCAGCAACCTCAAAAATTGCCTCTGCACCAAAATTCAAAGAAAGGAAGTAATTTGCCCAAGATCACAAAGTTAGCCACGAGCCAAGCTGGGATTCAGATTCTAGATTTACCCACATGTTCAGTAGCATTCCCTTTATACCATCCTGCCTCACATGACCTTATAAACAAACACTGCAAAGAAGTAGAGAGGCGCCACAGACTTAGCCTCAGGCAAACAACCTCACGCACTCTCTCTCATTTAGTTTTGGTTCTTACATATTATCCAGGAGCATCGAGAAAAGAGAAGTTTACTAGGAGTAGCCAGAGCCAGTGGCATCCACAGTTACCAGGGAGGATGGGCCGTTTGCTCCCCAATGATCTTGGGAGGCCCATCTTTGAGTACATGTGGTCTAGCAGTCCTATGGACTAGGTGCTCCAAGAACAAGGGTAGCTGCTTTTGTGAATGTGATAAATGTGTGTCATCGAATCCTGCATGGACCAGGGAGAAATATCAATAGCCTACATTCTGAAGCACAATCAACTTGTATTATGGACATCAGTGCTGTCAAAGCCATTACTTCTCATCCTGATAAAACATTACCCACGAAATTTTGAGGACCCTTTCCAGATCATTGAACTCCTACTCAACTTCCTGCACATGCCATGCATGGTTTTGTTTTCAGTACAGCTCCACACATTTGCCAAGCAATTCCACCTGCCCAGGACACCTTCTCCAGCCTTCTCCATCTAGTCGGCTCACACACAAGCTCCAGAGGTCGGTCTCCGTGCAACCATGGCTTGTGATGCTTTTGCTAACTTCCCATGCAGAAAGTGCTTTCTGCTATGCTTCCCTCAATCTTTGTACTTTTATTTAATATCTCATGCATGCTTTATTTTATTTATTCAAGTAGTACATATTTGAATGCCATCTGTATGCCAGACATCATGCAAGCCATTTTTTCTAGAATATTATTACAATGTTTGTCTGTAAAAGCTATCTTTTTTATAAGCTGTAAGTCTTATAAGGCAGGGAGCTCTGTCATTTTTATCTTAAAATCTCAAATGCTCAAGGAAGGAGGCATGATTTTCTTGCTCAGAAATTATATTTACAACAAACAATTTAATACTTGGCACCCTATATATTCAACCCAAACTGATCATTGTTTACCTAGCTGCTAGATAACTAGACATGTTAAGCCTAAAGAGTTATGTTTTCAAGTACTAGCCTTGGTCAAAGGAAGTATTGACTGTTTCATGATGTGCTCTAGGGAAAGACTACTGTCTTAATAAAAATGCTTACACTGCTAATATGCTAATAAAATAAAATAAAGTATGATTTTTCACTGACACTAATGTTCTATGAGTGGTAACAATCAGTATCAATGATCAATATATTTAGGAATCATGTCAAAAATATTATCAACTTTTAGAAGAACACATAGCGGAAAATTTTGGGATGTTGTCAAAGCTGAACAAAGTGGCTCACATGTATCGAGTTCAATGAGTGCTGCCCACCCTGCGTGTGAACAAAGACTACTCTGGGGACAGCTAAAAAAATCAACAGGGTGTTACTATCATTCAGCTACTCAGTTACAAAGGCTCTTGCAGAGGTGAGGCTGAAAAACAACAAAGATACCCAAAAGGAGCTCTAGGCCATGCAATCCCCAGCCAACACTAATTCACTCATATCTATACCAAGCACATGTTAAAGGGCCAGGCCATTTAAGTCTTTAAGCCAGTTTCAGGATGTCCTCAAAAACTAGACATTTTACCCATGGGTCATAGACTGACATCTAGGCATTTGGAGTAGGATTTATGTTAGGATAGTAAGCATAAATAGAAGTGTGCCAGGCAAACTGGTATGTACGGTTGCCCCTTATACATTAATTTAGACTTTATTTTTTTAAAAAGGTTTTAAGCATAGTGGTGAAATAATGTGATTTACAGTTTTAAGAGCTCACTTTGACTGCTGTATGGAGGATGGATTTGAAGCCAGGGAACCAGAATGCAGGGAAAGCACTGAGGAGACTATTACAGTAATCCAGGTAAGAAATTGGTAATATTGTAGACTAGGATGACTTCAGCAGTGAAGAGATTCTATAGGCAAATGGGGAAAGCAGAGATATAAACTTATAAACATATATAATTTATAATTATAAATTATAATGACACCTTAAGTGTCATTATAATTGAATGAAAGCCTTGCCTCATCATGGACACTTTATAAACAGTTATCTATTTATCCATTTGTTTATAAATAATATCCATTACTAATTCAACAAATATTTGAACAGCACTATGGAACAGGAACTATCCTGGATACTAGGAACACAATGTTAACCTAAAACACATGTTTCTTCCCAATCTTCACACCCAATCATAGGCAGTATAGTATAGCTGAATAAGAAAAGAGGAGATATAATTAAAGATTCACACACGCACCTGCTCACAAATGTGTGTGTGTGTGTGTGTGTAACAAAAGCTTACTATGGGAAGACGGGAAGGAGGAAAGGAAGGAAGGAGAGAGGAAGAATTGACGACAAATAAGTGAAGGACTATAAGATGTTGGGGGTCAGGTATTATATGAAGAGATGACTGAAGAGGATCCTGCAGGATGCTTTAGAGTTATTGGAGAATGGAATTGGTGAAGCAACAACCTTTCTATGCCCAAGAGTAGAGTATCATTATCTGATGTATCTGTGAAATAGGAAGGAATTGATTCTCCCTAAGTTCTTAGAGAACTGTGTAGACAAATATATATATATATGTATGTATATATATATTTGTGAGATAAAATATATATATATTTGTGAGATAAAATGCAAGTGTCTTAAATGGCACTAATTTCTCTGTCTTAAATTTCACTGATTTGACTACACTACTTTCATGAATGTCAAGATATTAATATAAACATTGTTTCAGACACATTAAAACCTGTGCAATTTGTAAGGACATAGAAGATTTGAGGTCACAGTAAGTTTGATCAAATAGACATTTATGAAACACTGAACACGGTATATATATAAAATGTAGGCTTTTCAAGCACACGTCTATGGCAGGCAGAATTCTAAGAGGGCCTCCAAGAGCCCAAAACCTGGTGTACATACACCCAGTTATTCAATCAAACACTAATCTTGGTACTGCTGTAAAATGATTTTGCAGATGTAATTAAGGCGCCAAATCAGTTGACCTTAAAATAGATAAATTATCCAAGTGGGCTTGACCCAGCTCCATGAGCCCTTTAAATCTGGGTCTAGAGGTCAGAAACAGGACAATCCAGAGATTCAAAGTATGAAGATGATTTGATACAAAAGAAATTTTCTGTTGCTGGCTTTAAAGATGGATGGGGTCATGAGGCTCTTCATGCATATGGCCTCTAGGAGCTAAGAGTGATCTCCAGCTGATAGCTGGCAGATGTAGCTAGGAACCTCAGTCCTACACCCACAAAGAACTGAACTGTACCAACAGGAATGAGCTTGGAAGCAGATTATTTCCCAGAGCCTCCAGACAAGATCAGCTGATACTACAATTCCTGCACTGTGAGACCATGAGCAGAGAACTCAGCTGCTCTGTGCCAGTTTTCTGAACTATAGAACTATATGAGCTAATAAATGGGTGTCATTTTAGGTTATGAAGTTTGGGATGATTTGTTATGCAGCAATAGAAAACTAATACAGTATTAATCAATAAGGAATGTCAATAAATACCAAATAATTTATAAGGCACAAACCATTGTCTGTAACTAAAATTTGATAAAATTAAAAGTGATAAACTATGCTTCCCCAAAATCTCATACATTTGGAATTTCAAAAAAACAAAAAAGCAATTCTAAATAGTGTGTGGTTTGAAGATCAAATTTTAATGGAAACTACAAATACTTGGAAATAAATGACAAACTGATATGTAAATCACAGATGAAAAAACTTAATAACATATATAAATCAATTTTCCATAAATAATTCTGTTGATTCAATATGATTTCTTTAATATGCCCCATGAGGTTCTTGTGAAAAAAGCAAGTTGAAAGTTGACCCTAATATTTATATAGAAGAGTATTCTTCAGGTTCGTATTATTAAAAATAAGTTGTGATAAACAGTCTTGTGCACATAAATTTAGAAACTGTTGTGAGAAAGTCCGAAGACAAATGACAAATGAGAAAATTTTTTTGAAACACATACAATTAAGGACTAACATAGAGGACTCTAATAAATCAGTTACAAAGTCAAAAAATACAATAGAAAATTGAGGAAGAATTGTGAGCAGGAAGTTTATAAGAAAAAAATTGAACTGGAAAATTTATGAAAGATGTCCAACTTCATTTATAACTGACAGAACACAAATTAGAATTGCAAGATGCAATCAATTTACCCAACATTAAGCTCTTCTGTTTGCATTTACTGGAAAAATCTTTGCCCATCTTACTATTCTGATCTATTCTTCTGTCATTTTGTTTCAAGATTTACCCTTATAAAGAGCAGACATTTGTTTTACTAATATTATTTTTGTTCCCCAAAGGAGGCTGTATTGTAATAAGAATGTTAAACTCATTTGTCTTTATTTAACAATTAATTTGTGTTATTCTTCTGTCACCTTTTTTTCTGTGTGTGTACTTTATATTTGGGATGTATTTTTCATATTTCTTTTACTTTTTTCAAGTTGGAGGTCTTTGCTTTTATATCTCCCCAAACTTTAATAGGCACACATATGGTTTTAATTCTTTTAATGATTACTTTTAAGATTTTCAAAAATATTCTTAAACATATATCTATCAGTCTAAGAAAGTCAAGACAAAACATGGAGCTATAATTGAAAAAGCATTAACTAGGACTAGAATAATTATTTCAATTTAAATACAGCCTTTGTGCTGGTAGCCATGTGCAGGCTCTGGGTCTATTTCTTCTATTTACCTTGACAAATTGTTTTGTGGCCCAATTGTAATACAAGAACAAGGCCTCAAATATTATTATTGCTGCCAGTTTTAAATGATAGCAAAATGCCAGGCTATGAATACTCTATGTATTACCTCATTTAATTCTTACAGCATCCTTCGAAAATGGGTATTATTATTCTCATTTGACAGTTCCGTAAACTGAGGTTCACGAAAGGTAAATGACTTGTGAAAGTCACATAACTAGTAAAGATCAGAATGAGGCCAGGCACAGTGGCTCACACCAATAATCCCAGCACTTTGGGAGGCCAAGGTAGGTGAATCACTTGAGGTCAGGAATTCGAGACCAGCCTGGCCAACAAGGTGAAACCCCATCTCCACAAAAAAAAAAAAAAAAAAAAAAAATTAGCTGCGTCTGATGGCAGGTTCCTGTAATCCCAGCTACTTGGGAGGTTAAGGCACGAGAACTGCTTGAACCTGGGAGACAGAGGTTGCAGTGAACTGAGATGGTGCCACTGCACTCAAGCCTGGGCAACTGCGTGAGACTCCGTCTCAAAAAAGAAAGTAGCATAATGAGACTCAAACTCAATTTTTTCTGACCTCAGATCAATCTTCTTATCCCCTAAGGAAAAAGAAAATACTCCTTTGCTAAGTTTTCTAAGCTCTGAGTCAAACTTACAAGCATGTCTTTGAAAAGGCATCATTTTATGTGTATACTCAATACATTGCTGTTATTATTATTGCTGTCAACTTTGATTCTCCCTGCATGTAAAATGTTTAACATACTTTTACTTACTCCTCCTACTCCTTCTCAACATCCTTCTCCATCACTACACCCAGGCCACAGCTCAGCCCTCCCCCTCCTGGTTGCTTCAAACACTAACCCCTGTGAAGCAGAGGGGTCTTGAGCTGTGATGAGGGTTTGATTATTCTGGATTGATGGGTAAATAGTCTTCCTCCCTGCTTTAGTGGGTGCAGGTTTTCAGTTTCCCTAGAAACATCACAGAAGCAGGCCTCAGATGATGTTCTTCTATACAGGCTCATGGTCTTGCAGTTGCACAAGTGCCTCCAGGTTCTGGATAAAATTTAGATGTTAGTACTAAATGTTAGTAGATGTTTGAATTATCGTCGTCTGTGTCTCCATGGGAATTTTGGAAGAAATTTGAAAGGTCCAATTTGATCTTGATTCTCAGATGCTTGGCATTAAAAAAACAAATCCCAGCCAAGTCTATTGAGTCAGCTCAAGGATGTTAGCTCATAGAACTGAACAGGTTAAAATTGTGTGTGTGTCATTTTATATAGACAGAATGGTGGTAGTATAACAGCAAGAGCAAAGGTATTGGCATCGAGCATACTTGGAGTTTGAATGCTGGCTTCACCAACTCTTAGGGGAGACCTTGGGCACATCATTCAATCTTTCTGCACCTCGTTTAACTCATCT
Source organism: Homo sapiens (assembly GCF_000001405.40). NCBI lineage: Eukaryota > Metazoa > Chordata > Mammalia > Primates > Hominidae > Homo > Homo sapiens. The sequence goes on from NC_000002.12 coordinate 19,138,202, forward strand.
GTAAAATGGGGATAACGATGCCTACTTTCCCAAGTATAATGAAGGTAACGGAAAGCTACAAGTACATAGTAACTGATCAGTGAATTGGAGTTAATAATGGGGTGAGGTACTGCTTCTGTTATTACCATCATATGAAATGCTTACCCCGTGGGGAACTGTGGTGATTGCCTGGCAAAAGCAAACGCAAATCAACTCCCATTGCATCAGCCAGCGTGAGTTCTGTTAACTGTGTACATAGATTATGAACTACTTGGTTGATTTACACTTTTCTGCAGCTGAAGAAAAATATTTACTGGGCAGATTAAATCGAATTAAAACAATCAGATTAAAAGGAGCCTGGAGGCTGCCCCTTAGCTCAGCAAGGGACAAGTTGCCTTTCTCTGAGCTGCAAACTCAGGCCAGGAGCTTGACTGATTTACCAGTAACATGAGAAGGTGTGATTGGAACTGCAAACAGGGCTGAAACACTGAAGAAGGAGTGTTTTTCTCCTCACATTGTATTCACATGTCAGCTCTGGGGATAGGCTCACCTCACTAATTTAGACCAATGTAGATAAGGAATGCAAAGCTTAAATGAGAACACATCTGCTTACACACCCATGATGTAGGAAGTTTAGCTTTCCATTACAGGTAGTGCCATCTTACAAATAAGTCATATTTCCAAGGTGAAATTGTAAGTGAGCTCCTTACAATTCAGAGCAGATGTTCTTACACATGTAAATTTATATTCGATGATCCATCTCCCAGGTCAGCCACACAAGTATTTCTAATCCAAAGGGCATAAGGTGACATGGGCCACACACAAGCAACATTAAGCCCAGTAAAATAGTGTTCTATAGCCAGAGTGTGTGTTTGTTTGTTTGTTTGTTTGTTTGCTTGTTTGCTACTTAGACAGTCCATACAAATTAATTCTTTTAAGACACTGTTTTTAAAATGTTCTATTTAGTGGCCATAAATAATATTATTTTTAAAATACGGATTTCTTCTATCAATCTTCTAGCCCCTTCTAGGCTAAACTACACTGGCTGAATTAGCTTAGTTATATCACAGGAAATTCTTCTTAACCCACTTTGCTAAACTGTGTTCTATAGCTTAGTATTTCAGGAGTTGTTAATAGTCCTGAAAAAAGAAAAAATAAAGTTACTTTGTAGAATAAATTTGGAAAATATAGCACACTAAGGCTCCCTGGTGGAGATTTGCAATGCACACTCAGTTATTGAAGATTCTAAGGTAAAGAAACCTTTTAAAGTTCTTGTCATCAGCTGTTACTAACAATTTTAATACATAACAAGTTTTTGTTTCATATTACCCTAATTGACATCCTGAGAATAGGGTTCAAAACGCTAGCTTGGAAAATGCCAATTTGCTTATTTACACCTAAAAGTGTCTATGTTGCATAACATCTGTGGTAGAATAACAGCTCAATACATATAGTTGCAGCAGCATTCAGTACTATAATAATAAAAACAATATACTGTAGCTAGATCATAAATAACCTGAACTTCTACAGACTTTCCTGAGAAGGTAAAGATTTATCTAACATAGTGTTCAGGGGAAAATAAAATTTAAGGTTTGTGAAAGGGGGTCATCACTCCTCCTGCTTCAGGGATAGTGTCTTTCCCAATGACTAGGGACTCCCAGGAGAATTTGCTTGGGTTCAGTGTTCTCCATAACCAGGGGAGTTTTGATTTATACTGGCACTCTTCCTGCTGAAAATGCCCCCTGTAATATATAGAAAAATTGGGTGCTTCATATATATATATATGTATACATATATATATACACACACATATATATATATACGTATATATATACACATATATATATACGTATATATATATATGTATATATTTCCCCTAAGGAAATAATTAGTCTAGTCCCATTACAGTCATTTTTATTCTAAAAATATATGTAAAAAGCTCTGTACTCAGGCTGGGTGAGGTGGTTCATGCTTATAATCCCAGCACTTTGGGAGGCCGAGGCAGGCAGATCACGATGTCAGGAGATCAAGACCATCCTGTCCAACATGGTGAAACCACATCTTTACTAAAAATACAAAAATTAGCTGGGCGTGGTGGTGTGTGCCTGTAGTCCCAGCTACTCAGGAGGCTGAGGCAGGAGAATCGCTTGAACCCAGGAGGCAGAGGTTGCCCGCTTGAACCCAGGAGGCGGAGGTTGCCGTGAGCCAAGATCCTGCCACTGCACTCCAGCCTGGCAACAGAGCGAGACTTTGTCAAAAAAAAAAAAAAAAAAAAGCCTTGTACTCACATAAGAATTTAAAATTAAACTTCATTTCGGATCCCAAGCTCTGAGGGAGAGGGTCCTGAGATAATGAGATTACATAGTCTGCTGATGGTAGAAGACAAAAATCACATTAGTTGGTGCCTTGGTCCTATCTCTTCTTGTGCTGAAAGTATGTATTCTGGCTGGGCAAGGCCAGGAACTTTTGGGGGTAATTCACTGTGCAACATGGATTCCCAGCAGGCACTATTGATCTGACCCAGAAAGCCCCAGGCCCAGGTCTCATTTGTAGTTCTCGAAGGCCTGTTGGAGGCCAGCAGCTGGCTTTGGCTTAATTACCTCCCTAGCCAGTGAAGTTTGTGTGGCTTTCTACAGCACTTAAGAACAACTGACACCAAAGGGTTTGGTTTCATGTACTTGAACTTGGGTGACACGAATATTTCAGTGGTGAATCAGTCCTAGAAAGGGGAGGTGGGTAAGGTAGGGAGTGTTTATAGAAGACATTTCATCACCACTAGTCAAACATATCTCATTGTTGGTTCAGGAGGCACTGGTATTTTCCTCTTTGAAGGGGATGCTCAGGGAGCCAAGAGCTTCCACCCTGGAGCTCAGCTCCAGAGAAGGGCAATGGCCATTTGCACACAGGGAACCTGCAGGACTAGTTGCTTTGGAATGTTGACAATCTTGGGGAAAGGGTTTTATGTCTTTCCTCAGGGGAAGGGAAAAAAAGCTGGTAGATCTATGTAAAGAAAGGCTGAGGCTTTCTCTGGGACTTGGGGCTGCTGGTGAGAGCTTATCTTTCTGCCTGGCTTTCTTTTAAAGAACCCACTAGTTGCAGGACCCCAAAGATAAGGTCAAAAAACTTGTAATTTCAAAGAGTCAGTACTGCCAATATCAGTGATAAAAAAGTTCAGCTGGAAGATGAGAATATGAGATTTCTTTGGCTTGAGTACATCTCTTGCACTGTAAATGAGGAAGCTCCAGACCCTACACAGTTGTGTTCCCTACAGCCCTCACCCCTCAGGTACAAAAAGAGAAGGCATCATGGTCCTTAGTGCTCTCCCAAGCCTTAGGAAGTGGAAATCATCTGAAAGCTTGCAGACCTCCTGGAGGTGTGGCATTATGAATGGCAAGGGGTCCCAAGAAGATTGCATGTAGAAAATCCCAAACTGGGCCATGCCAAGAAACACAAACCAAAAGGAAATACTTTATGAAAATAAACAAAGCTACTGAGTCAAACATACAAAGCAGGAAAACAGAACAAAAGATTATTTGAGGCCTGAGGTTTGAACATTTTGAAGCCACACATGTGCTAGGCCAGCCCAAGAACATGAAGAGCCTTACAGCTGTGTAAGCGCGGAGGCAGCCGGCTCCCATCAGGAGCTCCCCAGGGTCCCTGCAAGCCCACCGAGCTTGCTGGTTATGCTCCTATATCATCTTCTCTCCAACTTGAGCGCAGCCTTGAGCTACACAGAAACAGGGGTCTTCCACTGGAGGCTGCACAGATAGGGCTAACAGGACTGATTCCACCTACTGAGTAATTCCTGTTGCATGCATGTTAGTTTCCTCCAGTCCTAAATTTTTCCTACTGGAGCCCTAAAGGATATCAGTGTTAGAACAAAAAGTTCAGTTATTGAAATGTCTAACCAAGAACTTGCCACATATTATACAATCTTCAGAATCTCAGAATTCTGAAACTGAATAAGTTTGGCTGAATCATTTAAATTCCCAAGAATTTTAACTCTATGAAATAAGATACAAGTCAGACTCATGTTAGGGTCAAACATATGTTGTAGCAAATAGACTTAGATTCCTGTGTACACAAGCCTCTGTCTGAGGGAAGTGTCTCAGTGATACCAAATTCTGAATCCATTTACACCTTCTTTGGTGTCACTAGAAGACTTCTTGAACCAATTACCTTACCCACAGCAGTATGCCTTTCACAAAGATATACTATGATGCCATCTCTTTGGCTTTTCTGAGGGGGTCAGTAAAACAGATGCTGTATGGAAACTGCTCAAAATTTGTTGTAAAACTATTGTCAAGAATAAATGCAACCATATCTGATTGCAAGTTATTTTTACAATTACATTTCAGAAAATGTGTATCTGTTGAGGAATGAGTGCATTTTCTCTGTTCTGTTGATGAAGCTCACCAGGTTTTCCTTGCTTCTGTGATTGCCAGAAAGTTCATCTCCAAACGTCATAATCATAACTCTATAATGTCTCATGGTCAGCTCACTTTTGGCCTCCTCCTTTCTTTAATCCTGCTTTTCACACACACACACACACACACACACACACACACACACACACACACACCCTTCTCTGGAATTAAGGCTTAAAGATCAGGAAGGGTTACTCTAATTAGAAATGAAGAATTATCATATATGATTTGGCCATCTTCAGATACTATTCCAGAATGAACATCCAAGATCCATTCATCTCCCAGTGCTGAAGAGATAATGATTTTCCCTGAAGGAAGGGTGGCATATTCCATATCATGGAAGCAATAACCCTCTGCCCTCGTTCTTTTCCCTGGAGATTGATTGGGAAGGAGAAAAAGCATAACACTCACCATTGTTTAGCTGAGCACATTAATGTATTTTTGGATAAGTACAGAGAGATCAGGAACTAAGTCTGGAATTCAGGCAGGGGAATGTGGAATGGGCTCTGCATGATCCAGTGGAAAGTGGTGTGGAGAAGTTGCTGGAGGGTAGTGACGTTGGGGAAGGAGTGGGAAGCTACAGAGAAACGTATTGAGAAACTGGAGTCTTAGTTGGTGAAAAAGACCAAGGGAATTTTCTGGAGTAGGAATTTTTATATTCTATGGAAATTATCTGACAGAGCTGTAAGATAAACTGGTTCAACACTGTTTTATTACCAAAATTGTGTCTTTTGATTATGTCAAGGAGGAGGCTGATGGAGATGACAGAGAAATAACGGTATTTAGGAAATTATATCAGGGAGAAAGAATTGGGGGTCCCCTGTTTAGGTGAATATTAAGATAAGATAAAAAGAAAAAGAATAGGGAAAAATAGTGTGGAATGGAGAATCCAGTGTATGCAAGTAAATCCAGTGTATGCAAGTAATTCCAGTGAAAACTTTTTGGACAAAACAGAGGCCTTGAAAATTTGCAAACATATGTGCAGACACCACTGCCCTCCCACAGTACTTGGATTAGTGTGTGGAGGGGATTCATGGTAATTATATCAAAATCTCATGGACAGAAGTTTATGTTTGCAAATATATTGCTATTTTGATTCTCATCAGGGAAGCAGCAGCCTAACATTTTGCAAGCTTCCTTTTCACAGATCTACATCAACAGCATAAGCACTTGGATATTCCCTAGTAGTTCAGGAGAGGAACCAGGGCAGGCATGTTCAGTGCCCAAGGAGACTCTACAGATACTCAAATGAGAGGTTTCGGCAAACTAGAATTACCAGAGCAGGCTTCATGTAGGATGAAGGTTAGGAGCAGATCTGGAAGGATAATAACTTTTCTACCCTTATTTGTTGACTGATGAATAGAGGAATGCATGATAGTCAGACTAATAGTGCCACAGAAAATTTTTTACAAATCTTTTCATAAAAGCTATGGTACCATGAGGAGTACTTAACTTGTGTCCAGATGTAAAAATAGAATAAATAGAAAGGCATTTAACTCTATACATGTGATTTATTTGTGAGTAATTGTCAAGAGAAGTAATTACCATTATATTACTCTTTTGAAAATTATAATATCCAAAATGCAGAGGAATGCTGAGTACACATCTGACTCTGAAGAGAATAACTTCTATGCATCAAAAGAGATGAATCAGCTGTCATAACTTGGATCATCCATTTGAGAGGGGGTCAGTTTTGAGTTACTTTATTACTAGAACTTTGTATTCAGGAAGCAAAGATAGCTATGGTTTAGAATTTGATTAAAACACCTCACATCTAGTAAATTCCTCAGTTTAAGAGGAGAAATAAAACATTCCCCCTTCTATCAATCTATGTGTACATATTAGGTTTCATTGATAATTTTGATTAATCACTTATAACCTGTCTATTTCCAAGAAAAAAAATGATTTGATAATAGTTAAAATGTAAAGAAAATGAATGTCAGCAAGGACATACAAAGGAATGTGGTAGAACCTTTAAAAGGTAGTGCCCTGGTTGGGTGCAGCGGCTCACATCTGTAATTCCAGGTGTGAAGCCAAGGCAGGCAGATCACCTGAGGTCAGGAGTTTGAGACCAGCCTGGTCAACATGGTAAAACCCCATATCTACTAAAAATTAAAAACTAAAAAAATAAATAGCTGGGCATGGTGGTGCATGCCTGTAATCCCAGCTACTTGGGAGGCTGAGGCTGGAGAATTGCTTGAACCCCGGAGGCAGAGGCTTCAGCGAGCTGAGATCATGACACTGCACTCCAGCCTGGGCAACAGAGTGAGACTCCATCTCAAAAAAAAAAAAAGGAAAAAAAAAGATAGTGCCCTGAATCAATACCTAGATAGAGGGAATAAGACTGAAACTTCATAGACACCTCTCACACAACAAGCTCTTTATTCCTTCCTACCTGAATTTGTTCACAAGCATTTTCCCATTGATGTCACCTAGTGGAACATTTAAAGTGTTTAGTACATTTTCTAAATATGCTAATTTTGTTAGAGTGTAAAAACTTAAAGGATTCAAATAACTTTTTCTAGAAATAGGTACTTAAAAATAATAATCGTGTTGTGTATTGTATTAGTCCATTTGCATGCTGTTGATAAAGACATACTCAGCATGGGTAATTTATAAAGAGAAAGAGGTCTAATGGACTCACAGTTCCACATGGCTGGGGAGGCCTCACAATCATGGCAGAAGGCAAGAGAGAATGAGGATCAAGCAAAAGGGGAAATCCCTTATAAAATCGTCAGATCTCTTGAGACTTATTCACTACCACAAGAACAGTATGAAGGAAACTGCCCCCATGATTCAATTATCTCCCACCAGGACCCTCCCACAACACATGGGAATTATAGGAGCTACAATTCAAACTGAGAAGTGGATGGGGACACCACCAAACCCTATCGTGTATCATATCATATCATATCATATCATATCATATCATATCATATCAATCATATCATATCATATCACTGCTCTATGGTCTACAAAACACATTGACATACATCTCATTATATCTGACTCCAAGTACTTGGAAACTAGAATTTTCATATGCTGTGTTGTAACATTGTGCTTACTTTTTAAAGTATTTTCCCTACCATTTTCACTTTATCCTCACTACAAGGAAGTAGACTTTCTCATTCCCAGTTTGCAGATGCAGAAATCAAAATGCTACCACCTGCTTGACTTATAATTTAGACTGATCATTTTAAAAGTCTGTCTTTTTAATGCCTGATCATTAAAATACCCCATTGATAAATCCATTTACTTTTATTCTTTGACTTGGAGATCGTATTTTTCAGAAAACTCAATATTAATGCTGTATTATTTTTCTCCTAGTTCTATATATAGATAGATATGCTGAAATTGATATGATACATATATACAGTTGATGTGATATGATATATATGTCCTATATATAATGAATATACTTCTTAGAGTTGATAATGATACATATCACATTATATATCAAAAAAAATGTTTCCACCATGTTACTGAGATTGGAAAACTAATATACTTCTTAGAGTTGATAATGATACATATATCATTATAAATATATGTAACATATGATATATATCTATATATCATATATTATATACATATATGTATATATCATAGAATGATACACATATATATATCATTATCAACTCTAAGAAGTATATTAGTGTTCCAATCTCAGTAACATGGTTGAAATATATTTTATTTGTGGAACCACAAATAAAATATTACCAACAGAAAAGTATGGAAAACATACAAATGAGCTCACAAGAAAGACAAATGCCCAGCTGCCAGAAATAAAAAAGAAATAAAAAAACAGAGGCTGAAATAATCATATATAAAACTTTTAGTAGGCAACTAAAGCAATGCTTACAGGGATATGTGTCCCTACAAATAAATATAGATATAGACATACAAAATTAAGAATGACATGCTGTAAGTTAAATGTGCAATTTAAGAAGATAATCTAAAGAAAGTTAGAGGAAGGAAATAATATAGACAAACAAAATAAAAAAGAGAAAAACAGTAAATCTAAATAATTTGATAATAATCAAATTATTCTTTGAAAGGCTAATAAATAGTCAAATCCATCACAAAGCTAGTCAAAAAAAAAGAAGAAAAAACAAGATAAAAAGAGGGATAAAACTACAGGTATGGTAGAACAGTAGAAACTTTTCCCCAACTTTAAAGAATGTTAGAAAAAGTTTTATGCCAATAAATTTGAAAACAAACATGCAATGAACAATTTCTTAGAAAAATGAGTAAATTATCAAGGCTAAGCAAAGAAATATTAGAGAAATTGATCATCTATTAAAGAAATTAGGTTGGGAGTTTAAAAAAATCCATCTCCCTACCCCCACCTTTTCATATCTTCCCCTTCCCACAAACCCAAATATCAACACCATCAGGCTCCAACAGTTTTATAGACAACTTTTACTACGCCTTCAAGGAACACAAAAGCCCTGTCTTACACAAACCATTCCAGAGAACAATAAAAGAAGGAATTCTCCCCAACTTGTTTTATGAGGCTAGGATGACCTTGATTCTGATACATGAAAGCCAGAGAAAATTATAGACAGTTTCCACTATTAACACAGATGCTGATATACTTCATATAGAGTAAAGAAATCTTTCTACCTTTCTCATCCCACAGTTTTCAGAGGCCAAGAGGACATCCTCATGGTAGATGCAAACTAAGTTCCCCCAGTCATTCTTTGTCATCAGCCGTGAATGTGGGACACAGGCCACTCTCACCTATAGAGATCCAAACTGGGCCCCACTCATTGGAAAAATGGCCACACCCTGTATCCTCAGACTTTATCCTCCATGGTCAGGAGTCAAGAGGAGGCTCACCAGCACAGAGAAGGACAGACTCCAAGTGGAACTAAGTCAATTCTCCCCCAGACATTTTGGTCCGTTTTAACAGGATCAAAATAGAAACAAGACAGGCACCCCTCCTTACCTCACCAATACACATAGGCTCCTTCTCATTTTCTGTGTTGTACTTGTGGAGTCTCAGTTATGCTCATTATACACTGTTATTATAGAAGACCAGACCACTGAGTCACCATCAGCTCCTTTTCTCTAACCTCCATAGGTCCTTTAAATATTTCCTATTCTATCCCCATCTCCTTAACTCACTTCATTTCTTACATTTTCTTTTACCATGATCTCTGGAATCCACTGTCAATTATTAGCAAATTTGCCTATATGTAAAAAACTTCCTCTAACTGTTCTTGATCTTCTTATTCTTAGAGCCACTTGACTCTCCCCTGAGATGCTGTTTCCACATAGCTACCCCTCTTAACTGGAGGAGGAACATGTATCCTCTTTGTCTATTATTGCCACTTTTAAGCCATTCTCCTTTCCTACTCCCTTAAATCTCCCAGCTCTGAACCTTGTGGCCTCAGATTACACTACCACTTTAATTCCTTGTTGCTATCATCTACTTAACGCCCCTTCATGTCTTAATGATTATAGTTCTTGGTTCAGTATATGCAACGCTATTTCTATCTTAATTCTTAGTGATTCCAAAATATATATTAAGATGATTCTCCCAACATTCATTAATTCTTTGGACACCTCTCCTCAGATAATCTTGTCCTCCATGCTACCTCAGGCATTCATTCCCATGGTTATATATCAGAATTTACATTTCTGTAATTGCAATCTCTATTCAATCTCAGCTGCATGCATTCAATTCTCTGACTACCATTTTCTATTTTCCTAGCTCTCTTTAATACCTGATTCTAGTGATAGATACTCAATAAATATTTATGGACAGAATATATGATTGAATATAATTCATCACATTATAAGATGAAAAGGTTTGTTACTGTTGAAACATATGTAAAAAATAAGTAGCAGAGGAGTTAAACCCTGATTTTTGGTGCAAACGTTTTAGCAAACTAGTGATAGAACATAATATCCTTAATTTGAAAAGTGTTTCTAATAAACTCTATAGCTAATACAATTTTCCAGTGACATTTTAGAAGTAGTATTTTTTAATCAAGAGAAATGTGCTTGGTATCACTGCCTCTATTCAACATTGTAGGTGGTCCTTGAAAATACTACATAATACAACTTAAAAATAAAGATTAGTAAAGAAAACAATGTCATTTTTGACTGATGAGGTAATCATGCAGAAAAATGTACAGAATATCAGAACTGATAAAAGAGTAAATCAAGTTAGCTAGCTGTAAGATAAATATATAAAAATGGACACTTTCCTTACATGCTTGAAACCATCAATTTAAACACACAAACTATTCACAACAGCAACAAGCATTATAAGATACCCAGGAATAGATTTAAATATATATATTATATATATATATTATATATAATATATATTATATATAATATATATATTATATATATAAAATATATAATATATAATATATAATATATATAATATATATGTGCTACATTTACAGAAAAGAAAAAATAAACATTATTAAGGAACATGAAAAATATTAAAATAAAACATATGGGTAGATATACCATATATATGGGTGGAAATATTCAAAATCTGAAATATAGCAATTCTGCCCAAATTAATCTATACATTCAATGCAATTCTAAAAAAATTCAATTTGTTTTTAATGGAACTTGATAAGTAAAATTCAATGTTTAATTTTTTTATTTTGGCTAGAACATTTAACATGAGAACTGTTTACTATAGGTACAATAGGCACAACATTGTACAGCAGATATCTAGAGCTTATTCATCTTTTTTGACTGAAACTTTATGTCCATTGAACAGTGTGAACCAAAAGTATCTGGAACAGGTCTCAATCAATTTAGAAAGTTTATTTTGCCTAGGTAAAGAATGTACCTGTGAAATGGCCTCAGGAGGTCCTGATGACATGTGCTCAAGGTGGTCAGCGTACAGCTTGGTTTTACACATTTTAAGGAGATATGAGACATCAATCAATATGTGTAACATGTACATAAGTTCAGTCCAGAAAGGGGGCACAACTCAAAGCAGGGCATATTAGTCCATTCTTGGACTGCTACAAAGAAATACCTGAAACTGGGTCATTTACAAAGAAAAGGGGTTTAATTGCCTCACGGTTCTGTAGTCTGTACAGGAAGCATGATGCAGCATCTGCTCAGCTCCTGGGGAGGCCTTAGGAAACTTACAATTATGACAGAAGGCAAAGGAGAACCAGGCACATCTTACATAGCCAGAACAGGAGCAAGAGAGAGAGTAGTGGGAGGTGCCATATACTTTTAAACAACAAGATCTCACAAGAACTCACTCACTACCACAAGAACAGCATCAAGTGGGAAATCCACCTCCATGATCCAGTCACCTCCCACCAGGCCTCCCCCTACAACATTGGGGATTACAACTGAACATGAGCTTCGGGTAGGGTCACAGATCAAAACCATATCATTCTCTCACTGGCCCCTTCCAAATCTCATGTCCTTCTCACATTGCAAAATACAATCATGCCTTCTGAGCAGTACCCAAAAGTCTTAACTCATTCTAGCATTAACTCAAAAATCTAAAGTCCAAAGTCTCATCTGAGACAAGTCAGGTCCCTTCTGCCTATGAACCTGTAAAATCAATAACAAGTTAATTACTCCCAAGATACAATGGGTATAAATACTGGGTAAGTGCTTCCATTCCAAAAGAAAGAAATCAGCCAAAAGAAAGGGCTATAGTCCCCACACAAGTCCGAAACCCAGCAGGTCAGTCATTAAATCTTGAAGTTTCCAAATGGTCTCCTTTGACTTCGTGCCTCACATCCAGAGCACACTGATGCAAGGGGCAAGTCCCCAAGGCCTTGGACAGCCCCACCCCTGTGGTTTGCAGGGTTCAGTCCACAAGGCTGTCCTCAAGGGCTGGCATTGAGTGCCTGTGGCTTTTCCAGGTGCAAGGTGCAAGCCATCAGTAGATCTATCATTCAGGGGTTTGGAGGATGGTGGCCCTCTTCTTACAGTTCCTCTTGGCGGTGCTCCAGTGGGGACTCTGTGTGGGGGCTCCAACCCCACAGGGGCTCCCCTCCACATCAGGAGTGGCTCCCGTCCACACTACCTTAGTAGATGTTCCCCATGAGGGTTCCACCTTTGCAGCACGCTTCTTCCTGGACATCCAGGCTTTTCCATACATCCTCTGAAATATAGACAGAGGCTCCCAACCTTTACTCTTGCATTCTGTGCACTTGCAGGCTTAACACAATGTGGAAGCAGCCAAGGCTTATGACTTGCACCCTCTAAAGTAGTGGCCCAAGCTGTACCTGGACCCCTCTGAGCCACAGCTAAAGCTAGAGTGGCCTGGATGCAGAAGTGGTGTCTCGAGGCTGTTCAGGGCAGTGGGGCGCTAGCACTGGCCCATGAAACCATTCAGTCCTCCTATACCTCCAGGCCTGTGAAGGGAGGGGCTGCCACAAAGATCTCCAAAATGTCTTGGAGGCCTTTTCCCCATTGTCTTGGCTATTAGCATTTGGCTCCTTATTACTTATGCAAATTTCTACAGCCTGCTTGAATTTTTTGTCCAGGAAAATGGGCTTTTCTTTTCTACTGCATGGCCAGGCTGCAAATTTTCCAGACTTTTACACTCTGCTTCCTTTTTAAATATAAGTTCCAGTTTCAGGTCATTTATTTGCTCATGCATATGAGTGCAGGATATTAGAAGCATCCAGGCCATATCTTGAATGCTTTACTGCTTAGAAATTTATTCTGTTAGATACTCTAAATTTCCTCTCTCAAGTTAAAGGTTCCACAGATCTCAAATCTAGAGGCATAATGCAGCCAGGCTCCTCACTAAAGCGTAGCAAAACATTTATTCCAGTTCCCAGTAAGTTCCTCATTTCCATCAGAGACCTCAGCCTGAAATTCATTGTCCATATCACTATTAGTATTTTGGTCACCAACACTCAACAAGTCTTTAGGAACTTTCAAATTTTCCCTCACCTTCCTATCTTCTTCTGAGCCCTCCACACTCTTCCAGCCTCTGTTTGTTACCTAGTTCCAAAGCTGCTTCCACATTTTCAGGTATCTTTATGGTTATTTCTCACTTCTCTGGTACCAATTTTCTGTAGTAGTCCATTCTTGCACTGCTATAAATAAATACCTGAGATTGGATAATTTATAAAGAAAAGAGGTTTAATTGGCTCACGTTTCCACAGGCTATACAGGAAGCACAATGCTGGTGTCTGCGTAACTTCTGAGGAGGCCTGAGGAAACTTACAATCATGACAGGAGGCAAAAGTGAAGCAGGTACCCCTTACATGACGGTAGTCAGAGCAAGAGAGAGAGTAGGGGGAAGTGCCACAAACTTTTAAACTACCAGGTCTCACAAGAACTCACTCACTACCACAAGAACAGTACCAGGTGGGAAATCTGCCCTCTAGATTTACTTGTCTCCCACCAGGCCCCACCTCCAACATTGTGGATTACAATTCAACATGAGATTTGGGTACGGACACAGATCCAAACCATATCACAGGGGCTTCCAGGTCATAGGTAGGTAATAGACAAATGGTTGTATTCTTTTGAGTCTTTGATGAGCCTTTCACTGAATACACAACTTACATGTGAGAGGAAGGTAGAGGAATAGTCACGTATGCATTAGTCTGGCTGAATGAATCTGCATTTTTCCATAAATGCAAGGGCAAAGGAAGCAATCAGATACGCATTTGTCTCAGATGAGCAAAGGGATGACTTTGAGTTCTGTCCTTTGTCCTACAACTGTGAAGACAAGTTATCAATTTACATTGCCAGGGTGAAATTCGACAGAACTGTTTTTGGGTAAAGATCTTGAGGATGACAGGGAATTTCCTTGTGGGCAAATTATGAGGAGGTATGTACCTTTTTTTCTTTTATCTTTGTAGCTATCTTATTTAGGAATAAAATGGGAGGCAAGTTTGCTCAACGCAGTTCCCAGCTTGACTCTTCCCTTTGGTTTACTGATTTAGGGGTCCTGAGATTTCTTTTCCTTTCACAACAGCAACCCCATTTTACCCTCTTCCTTGCCTCTGGCAGCCACCAGTACACTAGTACACTTTTTGACTCTATGAATTTGACTATTTTACAGACTTCATAAAAGTAGAATCCTGAAATATTTGTCTTTCTGTGTCTGGCTTATTTCACTAAGCATAATGTCCTCAAAGTTCATCTATATTGTTGCATATTTCAGAATTCTTCTTTTCAAAGGCTCAACAGTATTTCATTGTTTGTATATAGTATTTTTTCTTTATCCATTTATCTGTCAATAGACATTTATGTTGCTTCCACATCTTGGCTATTCGTGAATAGTGCTGTATTGAACACAGCAGTATTAACATCTCTTCAGAATCCTGATTTCAATTCCTTTTGATTAATACTCAGAAGTGAAATTACTGGATCATACAATAGTCCTAATTCTAATTTTTTGAGGAACCTCCATACTGTTTTCTGTAGCATCTGCCCAACAAAGAGGAACCAAGATGAATCTTAAGAAGTATAAGTAGAAACTCACCCAACTAAAATTTTGAAATTTTAAATGTATTTAATGTGAATATAAGGGTATTTCGTTGGTGAAAATTTAGAGAAATGGGCCAAAATAAAAAAACAAAACCCAAAAGAAAAAGCCTCATCAAACACATGTGAAGGAAATTCATACACATCAGAGGTGACCATCAATCAACAGGAAAATCGGAGACTAGGTAATAAATGTTGTCGGAATAATTATTTATCCATATTGGAAAAAAATTGAACAGTATCTCTATCTGATACTTTATTTAAAAATAAACTTTATGTGTAATAATATTTTAAATGTTAATACATTTTTTAATTCAGAAGAAAAAAGAATAAGATACTTTTTTTTTCTCAAAATAGAAAGGAATTTCAGAGATCAGACAAAAGTCTAATCATAAAGACAAGAATTATTAATTCGTCATCTGTAAAATTAGGCTTAAAATTTCTGTACACAGGATTGCGATGTTCAGTAAAATACAATGTGAATAGTGTCTGAAGTTGTGTATGTGAATAATATTATGCCAATGAGTATATTATAAAAAGAAATCAAGAAAATAATTTAAAGCAACTCACAGACTACAGCTGGAAGAAAATATTTGTAAAACACGTAACTGGTAAAGAAGTAATACTCAGATTATATCAACAATTTCCATAACTTATATTGTAAAGACAAATATAGAAAATGGATAATGAATAAAATATCACAAAGAAAAAATCTAGACACACGTCTTATACTTTGCCCAAAAATTAACTCAAAATTAATCATAGACCTATATGTACAAATATGAAATTATAAAACTTCTAGAAGAAAATATTTTATAAAACCTATATGACCTTGGTTTTGATGATGACGTACAATACCAAAAGCATAATCTATGAAAGAAGAAATTGATAGGTTTGACTTTATTAAAATTAAAAGGTTTTGTTCTGTGAATGAAAATGTTCAGAGAATCAAAAATCATACTCTGGAAAAATATATTCACAAAACACATCTGATAAAGGACTTGAATACCAACTATACAAAGAACTCTTAAAACTCAACAATTTTAAAAAACCCAATTAAAAAATAAGCAAAAGATATGAACAGACACTTCACCAAATATACACACATACATATATATGTGTAAATATATATATATATATAAAAGCATATGAAAAAATGTTCGACATCATTTTTTCATTATGGAAATGCAAATTAAAACAACAATGAGCTAACTCTACATACCTACTGGAGAACTAAAATTCAAAAAACTGGCAATATTAACTTCTGGTGAGCATTCAGAGCAACAGAAACTCTCATTCATTGCTGGTGGGAATGAAAATGGTAAGCTACTTTGGAAAACAGTTTGACAGTTTCTTACAAAGCTAAACATATAGTCTTTCCATAAAATTCAGCAATCAATCTACTCTGTATTTACCAATCTGATTTAAATAAAACATATCCACAAAAATCTGCATGCAAATGTTTACAGCAGCTTTATTTATAGTTGCTAAACCTGGAAGTAAGCCAAGATGTCCTTCAATCAGTGAATAGATAAACAGTGGCACATCCATGGAGTGGAATATTATTCAGTGATAAAAAGTAACACAGCATCAAGCCATACAGAAACATAGATGTAGATTGCTAAGTGAAAAAAAAAAAAAAGACAATCTGGAAAGGCTACATATGGAATAACTCCAATTATATGACATTCTAGAAAAGACAAAGCTACAGAGATGGTAAACACAAGCGGAGTTGCCAAGGGGTTTGGAAAGGAGGAAGTATTGAATAAAGCGTAGGGGATTTTTTAGGTCAAACAAATCTTTACAACAATAGTAATGGTGGGATGTGATACTATGCATTTGCCAATACCCATAGAAATGTACAGCACAAAGAGTGAGACTTAATGCTTGTAAATTTATTTTAAAAAATCTAGTTGATCATGAGATGCCAAAATGGGATGCAGGTATTGTGGCAAAAGCAGGTGACTTTATTACAAATATATGAGATAACCTCACTAAAGGGTATAGGAGAAAAAGGTGCTAACCACAGTAACTTTGGAAATGAGTGGCATTTGTAAGACTAAAGTAAAAGGTACTGCACATAAGCACTGAACTCTAATAGATGAAGTTTTTTCCTCTAGGCCTATGGGTTAAAAATTCTGAAACCAGTATGTAAGTATTCTGGAGTTGAACAAGCAAGTAATGGATTGTGATGGAGTGGGAGGTTACTGACAAGCAAGGGAAGAAGACTAGAATGATCCACATTGTTAGAGTTGGAGACATCTGTATGAACTCATGTTTAGCTTAATATAGATGTAGATGGACACACATAGAAATCTTTATAGATATGTTGATATACATAGGTTAGTAGGCATGTATATATTTTCTTGCTCTGTTAGCTGACAGGGCCTAGATAAAATGCTACTCCAACAGCAATAATCACATCTAACATCTAGATTTTTATTTCTAATATTATTCTCAATAAAAGAAGCCAGGGCTCCAAGGAAAAATGGCTGGTTCTAGGGCTGGGATAGTTATATAAAAAATGATTCTGGAACATCTTGAAGTGTCAGAAAATAGGGAACTATTCAAAAATAGCATAATAATGGGGGTATGTAAAAGAGACCCAAGAGGTCTAGGCACGATGACTCACATCTGTAATCCCAGCACTTTGGAAGGCTGAGGCAGGAGGATGACTTAAGCCCAGGAGTTTGAGACCAGCCTAGGCGACATAGTGAGACCCTTTCTCTACAAAACCTAGAAAAATTAGCTGGGCCTGTAGTCCCACCTATTAGGGAGGCTGACGCAGGAGATCAATTGCGTCCTAGAGGTCTAAGCTGCAGTGAGCTGAGATCGCACCATCGCACTCCAGTCTGGGCAACAGAGACCCTGACTCAAAAAAAAAAAAAAAAAAGCAGGCGGTGGGGAGAGAGGAGGAAAGAAAAGAGGAAAGACAAAAAGCTAAATGACATACCTGGAAAAAAAATAATGCTGACAAATTTTTTATCCTGGTCTATGGCTGGTTTGCTACACACAGGCCAACATGAAAAAGAACTTTTATCAGTATTAGTTTATTTGTCAGTATTGGTTGATTTGTCAGTATTAGTTCATTCCCTCTCTTCTATGTAGAGGGAATCGTTTTTATTATTATTAAATCAGCTTTATTGAGGTATCATTTACACACAATTAAGTTGGCTTATTTTAAGTGCGTGGTTTAATAAATTTTGACAAATGTATACAGTTGTTTGAAAACCCACAAACAAAATACAGTTGACCCTTGAACAATGCAGAGATTAGGGGCGCTAACCTCCTAAGCAGTAGAAACTTTGTGTCTAACTTTTTTTTTCTTTTTTTTTTTTGTTTTTAACACAAGGTCTTGCTATGTTCCCCAGGCTGGTCTCAAACTCCTGTACTCAAGCAATCATCCTGCCTCAGCCTCCCAAACTGCTGAGATGACAGGCGTGAGCCATCACGCCCAGACCTGCTGTATATAACTTTCGACTTCCAAAAAGGTAACCACTGTTGACTGGAAGCTTTACTGATAACAGAAAAAGCTGATATATATATATAGTATGTTTTCGTTATTAATTTACCTATTTTGAATGTATCATGTGTTTTTAATGTGCATTTCTCTGACAATAATGTTAACAACATTGAACATATTTTCAAGTGATATTGGACATTAATATATCTTCTTTGCTAAAGCATCTTCCGCATACTTTACTCTCATTTATTTTACTTTTTTTTTTAATATAGAGAGAGTTATTTGGACCAAGGTTGAGGACTATAGGCCAGGACACACTGCCAAGTTGCTTTACAGAATGCTCCCTACCCTCATTTTTTAAAGTGAGGTTGTCTTCACTTTTTTTTTTTTTTTGGTTTTACAAGTTCTTTGCATATGGCAGATACAACATATATTTGTCAAATAATTGTTTTGCAAATATTTTCTCCCAGTCTGCAGCTTATCATTTAATTTTCTTAATAGTGTCTTTGCCAATGGTATATTTGAAGATGTTTTTATTTATGCCTAAGTCCAAATTTTTGTCATGCTTTTGTATGCTAAGAAAAATGTGTCTAAAAAGGAACAGTTTTAATGTTAATCATATACATTGAATCTATTTTCAAAAAGAATCAATCTGAGTAGTTGGCTAAGAGGCAGGCAGCAAATCAGGTTGGGTGACAGGCAGGATATCTTAAGTGTCTAAAGGGTTCTGGACTTTTGGACAAGTAACTGTTCTCACTATATGTCCTTCTGGTAAAAGCAGACCCATGTGCCCTACACTAATCTGTTTTTCTGTGCTATGTTCTTCTTTGCTAGATAGAACACCTTTCTGTCCCTAAATCATGATAGCAGCAACATCTACTGTTACAGCCCCTTGGATATTTCAAAGTATTTTTCAATCTCTCAATTTATTTGATCCCCACATCCCTGTGAAGTCAGATCAGAAACTTCTACTGTTATGTTTTTATGACACACAAACTTCTACTATGCTATATTTTATAGGTGAGAACTTAAGTAACTGACTAAGGTTGCATAGGCATTAAGTAAAGTTAGGACTAAATCTAAATCTTCTGACACAAGATAGGATGTCGCCTGTCTTCCTTGCAAATGTTTGAGCAATTGTGATTAAACCAAAGTCCTTTTCATGCATAGAGTCAGACTGAAATGGAGAGGCTGGGTTAGGGAGAGGGACTGTTCATAAAAATTGGGCCCAACCTGCTAATTCATTCTATATCACAAGAGGCACTGTGATACAATGGGAAAAAGGAGAGCCTTGAAATTAGAGAAATGAGAGTTTTGAACCCAGTGTAAAAATTTGTGCCTTCTGAGTTGATTTGTTCAATTGAAATATGTGAGATGAATTATTCCCTCACTCATTAGACATATATTTCTTAACATCTGATAATTAGTTGCCTTTTAATAATATGAGCTAAAGTTTTTAGAGCACTTAACGTGTCAGAAACTATGCTACCCATTTAATCTATTGCATGTATGCCTCAAACCATCTCTATAAGGTGTATAACCTTATCCCAATTTAACAAAAAGTGAAACAAGTTTAGGAATTTTGTCTTGCCTGAGCCCCACAGATTATATATTGGGGGTTCAAGACTGACTCAAAACCTATGCTCTCAGCACCTAATCCACATTGCATCTCATCTTTAATATGAACACATAACCTTTGCTGGATAAAGTTACTTTGAAAATTTAAAATAATTCGTATTAAAGTGGACTGTAATACTTGCCTTTATCCAGTTTCTTCCTCTTTTCAGTGTATGATAGGATTAAACTTCACAGCTAAGCTTGCAGTTGGGTGGAGCTCTATGACTAGTTCTGGCCAGCAGGGTTTGGACAGAACACATGTGTGCCACATCCAGGATTGAGCATTTAATTTTCAGCACAGAACTATCCAGTGCTCTGTTTTCCTGCCTGGGAGATTATGGAAATGTGTGATAATATAGAGATTCCATAAGACTCAAATGGCCTGGAATGCTGAACCCACCTATGGAGGAAAGCTACTCTGGAGAGTTTTGCAGAGTGAACTTTGTATGAGAGAAAAATAAAATTTTCTTGTCTTAAATGATTGACATTTGGGAGTTGTTTGTTACCACAGCATAACCTAGTGAAAGCGTCCTCACTTGTACAACATCGCCCCTGGGGTGGTGGTGATTGTGATCATTTTGGTGGTGGTTAGTCTTGATGATATTGTGCATAGACCATCAAGTCATCTCTCAAAGCTAACCTTCTTACGATGTTTGACCCCTTCCCCAGACAGGCAAAATAATATTTTTACAAAGTACCAAAAAATGATATATATGTGAAATGTCATTAAATGGCATGGAAAAGAAGTGAATATATTGTCTGCAGTGTTCAGCAGAAACCTAAGCAGCAGATAAACAGCCTTTTCCCGTGAGTTAACTCTGGAGGCTCTCAATCTACTTACAAGTCATTATAAAGGCATTATCCTCACAAGCATGAATGACTTACAAACCATCCCACCACTAAGTAAATTAAAGCGGCCTTCTTGATCTCTATCAGGAAGGCCTTCCCCCTTAACAAGTTCCACATTGCAGACAAACCTTTCTGCCATCTGCTCGAATGGAAACGTGTGGCATAACCCTGCATGGGAACACTTTGCCCTTGGTAAGGAAAGAGACCTTGGGGGATCATTTGGAAAACCACCCTCTTGGCACACAATCTGTGGCTAGAGTTTGCCCTTTGTCCCTTGTGTGCAATGATCTATTCTGATATGAATGTCGTTTTGAATGAATGTATATGAGATATATTTACATATGCTAACCACCAGGGTGGTTTCCAGTGGTGTTGGTAATGGTGGCAGGATCCACATACTGCCATACCACAGATTTTAATTGGGGAATGATATCAATGTCTTCCAAGCCACAAAAGGAAATAAGCCATCTTTAAAGCTCAATAGGATTTATGTAGGGTAGTTGCCCCATGTGTACTGTCCTCCACCTCATCAAGCTAACTCTTACTGATCCTTTAAAATTCACCTCTTCCAAGATGCAGTCTCTGATCACCTCATGGGAGTTAGGTAACCCTTCTTCTTGTTCCATTTACTCTCTGCATACCTGTCTCTCTATATAACACAAAGGATATCCAGCTGTGGTGCAGCATATAGGGCTACAGCTGTTGCTGCCTGGGGTAATTTTAATGATGTTCCACAGTTGTATCATCATGTGCATTTCTTTGTGCCATGGGTATCAATTTTCAAATCCAGCTTAAAGCGAAACATGGAACATCCCACTATAGGTGGTTTAAAGTGTTCTCTTCTCTCAGAGATCACACATGATATCAATTCTGCAGAAGCCACCAGAGAGAACTCAAACCTTTTCATGAAGAGAAAATAAAACAATCATTTCACTAAGAAAGAAGGCAACTTGCGTTTTCCAAGGCATGCTTTTTTGTTTTCATCTCTCCATAATTTTTAGATGTTGACATTAAGTAACTAATTATCTAATAACTAATGCTTGATGTTGAATCATAACACATACAATGAATTCTCACACACTACATTGTCATCACTCAGTTGCATAGAAAGTATTTTTCTACAAAGCTTCCTAGCTAAATTCAAAGTATTACAAATTAACACTTTTATTGTATACATTTAAAGTCTATAACTGGATGATTTAACATATTTGTAAATTGTGAAATAATCATAAAAATCAAGATAATTTTCATATCCATAACCTCATGTATTACCATTTGTGTGTGTGTGCATATGAGACAGGAACACTTAAGGTCTACCCTCTTTGCAGATTTCAAGTATTCGATATAATTTGTTACCTAGGGTCACCATGTTATGCATTTGCTCTCCAGAACTGATGCATCCTACATGACAGAAACTTTGTACCCTTTGACTAATATCTCCTCAAATCCCCTTTCCCTTAGTCCTACCTTAGAACTACCATTCTACTCTCTGCTTCTATAAATTTGACTATTTTGGATTCCACATATAAGTGAGATCATACAGTATTTGTCTTTTGGTGTCTGGCTTATTTCACTTAGCATAATGCCCTCCAGGTTTTTCCATGTTGTCACAAATGTCAGGATTTCCTTCTTTTTAAGACTGAATAATATTTAATTGCATATATATGTGACCTTTTATTTATCCACTCATCTTTTTATTGACATCCATCTCTTGACTGTTGTGAATAATGCTGCAATGAACATGGTAGTTCAGATGTGTCTTTGAGATTCTGATTTCAATTCCTTTGCATAAATACTCAGAAGTAATATTGCTGGGTCATGTGGTAGTTCTATTTTTAATTTTTGGAAGAATCCCCACACTGTTCTCCATAATGGCTGTACAAATTTAGCATAATAAATTTAACATTCTCACTGTTGGTGGAAATGTACCAAGAACCCCTTTTCTATACATCCTTGTCAATGCTTATGATCATTTTTTTTCTCATAATAACAATTCTAACAAGTGTGAAGTAATATCTTATAGTGGCTTTCATTTGCATTTTTCTGATCATTAGTGATTTTGAGTCTCTTTTCAGGTACCTGTTGGCCATTTGTATGTCTTCTTTGGAAAAATGCCTATTCTGGTCTTTTGCTCACTTTTTAAAGGGTTATCTGTTTTTTACTAATTATATAAATTATTTATTTTAAATATTAATTCTTTATCAGATATATGGTTTACAAATATTTTCTCCCATGCCAAAGGTTGCCTTTTCATTTTGTTGACTGTTTTCTTTACTGTGCAGAAACGTTTTAGTTTGATGTAATCCCACTTGCTTTCTTTTGCTTTTATTGCCTGTGTTTTCCACAGCATATTCAAAAATGTGCTTCCAAGACTAACGTCAAGGAAGTTTTTCGCTATGTTTTCTGCTAGAGGTTTTATAGTTTCAGGTCTTATGTTTAAGTCTTTAATCTATTCCGAATTGATTTTTGTGTACTGTGTAAAATAAGGGTACAATTTCATTCTTTTGCATGTGGATATTCAGTTTTCCCAGCACCACTTATTTAAGAGATTTTTTCCATTGTGTATTCTTGATGTTTTTGTCAAAGATCAGTTGGCCATATATGCATGGGTTTATTTCTGGGCGCTCTATTCTTTTCCATTAGTCTATGTGTCTGTTGTTATGCCAATACCATACTGTTTTGGTTACAATAGGTTTGTAGTATAATCTGAAATCAAGAAGTATGAAACCTCCAACGTTGTTATTTTTTTGCAAACTATACTTGATATAATCAAAGCCATGCATAGATATAGTTGGATGTAGACTACATACTCAGAACCTACACTTTGATCAAGTGCATTGGCAAAAGCTAAGAATTCAGTGTGACTAGAAATAAGGATCCCATTCAGGAGCAGGTTGTTCAGTTTCCATGTAGTTGAGTGGTTTTGAGTGAGTTTCTTAATCCTGAGTTCTAGTTTGATTGCACTGTGGTCTGAGAGACAGTTTGTTATAATGTCTGATCTTTTACATCTGCTGAGGAGAGCTTTACTTCCAACTATGTGGTCAATTTTGGAATAGGTGTGGTGTGGTGCTGAAAAAAATGTATATTCTGTTGATTTGGGGTGGAGAGTTCTGAAGATGTCTATTAGCTCTGCTTGGTGCAGAGCTGAGTTCAATTCCTGGGTATACTTGTTAACTTTCTGTCTCGTTGATCTGTCTAATGTTGACAGTGGGGTGTTAAAGTCTCCCATTATTATTGTGTGGGAGCCTAAGTCTCTTTGTAGGTCACTCAGGACTTGCTTTATGAATCTGGGTGCACCTGTATTGGGTGCATATATATTTAGGATAGTTAGCTCCTCTTGTTGAATTGATCCCTTTACCATGATGTAATGGCCTTCTTTGTCTCTTTTGATCTTTGTTGGTTTAAAGTCTATTTTATCAGAGACTAGGATTGCAACCCCTGCCTTTTTTTGTTTTCCATTTGCTTGGTAGATCTTCCTCCATCCTTTTATTTTGAGGCTATGTGTGTCTCTGCACATGAGATGGGTTTCCTGAATACAGCACACTGATGGGTCTTGACTCTTTATCCAATTTGCCAGTCTGTGTCTTTTAATTGGAGCATTTAGTCCATTTACATTTAAAGTTAATATTGTTATGTGTGAATTTGATCCTGTCATTATGATGTTAGCTGGTTATTTTGCTCGTTAGTTGATGGAGTTTCTTCCTAACCTCGATGGTCTTTACAATTTGGCATGATTTTGCAGTGGCTGGTACCAGCTGTTCCTTTCCATGTTTAGTGCTTCCTTCAGGAGTTCTTTTAGGCCAGGCCTGGTAGTGACAAAATCTCTCAGCATTTGCTTGTCTGTAAAGGATTTTATTTCTCCTTCACTTATGAAGCTTCGTTTGGCTGGATATGAAATTCTGGGTTGAAAATTCTTTTCTTTAAGAATGTTGAATATTGGCCCCCACTCTCTTCTGGTTTGTAGAGTTTCTGCCGAGAGATCCGCTGTTAGTCTGATGGGCTTCCCTTTGTGGGTAACCCGACCTTTCTCTCTGGCTGCCCTTAACATTTTTTCCTTCATTTCAACTTTGGTGAATCTGACAATTATGTGTCTTGGAGTTGCTCTTCTCGAGGAGTATCTTTGTGGCGTTCTCTGTATTTCCTGAATCTGAATGTTGGCCTGCCTTGCTAGATTGGGGAAGTTCTCCTGGATAATATCCTGCAGAGTGTTTTCCAATTTGGTTCCATTCTCCCCGTCACTTTCAGGTACACCAATCAGATGTAGATTTGGTCTTTTCACATAGTCCCATATTTCTTGGAGGCTTTGTTCGTTTCTTTTTATTCTTTTTTCTCTAAACTTCCCTTCTCGCTTCATTTCATTCATTTCATCTTCCATCACTGATACCCTTTCTTCCAGTTGATCGCATCGGCTCCTGAGGCTTCTGCATTCTTCATGTAGTTCTCGAGCCTTGGCTTTCAGCTCCATCAGGTCCTTTAAGCACTTCTCTGTATTGGTTATTCTAGTTATACATTCTTCTAAATTTTTTTCAAAGTTTTCAACTTCTTTGCCTTTGGTTTGAATTTCCTCCTGTAGCTCGGAGTAGTTTGATCATCTGAAGCCTTCTTCTCTCAACTTGTCAAAGTCATTCTCCGTCCAGCTTTGTTCCGTTGCTGGTGAGGATCTGCGTTCCTTTGGAGGAGGAGAGGCGCTCTGCTTTTTAGAGTTTCCAGTTTTTCTGCTCTGCTTTTTCCCCATCTTTGTGGTTTTATCTACTTTTGGTCTTTGATGATGGTAATGTACAGATGGGTTTTTGGTGTGGATGTCCTTTCTGTTTGTTAGTTTTCCTTCTAACAGACATGACCCTCAGATGCAGGTCTGTTGGAGTTTGCTAGAGGTCCACCCCAGACCCTGTTTGCGTGGGTATCAGCAGCGGAGATTGCGGAACAGCGGATTTTTGTGAACCGTGAATGCTGCTGTCTGATCGTCCCTCTGGAAGTTTTGTCTCAGAGGAGTACCCGGCCGTGTGAGGTGTCAGTCTGCCCCTACTGGGGGGTGCCTCCCAGTTAGGCTGCTCGGTGGTCAGGGGTCAGGGACCCACTTGCGGAGGCAGTCTGCCCGTTCTCAGATCTCCAGCTGCGTGCTGGGAGAACCACTGCTCTCTTCAAAGCTGTCAGACAGGGACATTTAAGTCTGCAGAGGTTACTGCTGTCTTTTTGTTTGTCTGTGCCCTGCCCCCAGAGGTGGAGCCTACAGAGGCAGGTAGGCCTCCTTGAGCTGTGGTGGGCTCCACCCGGTTCCAGCTTCCCGCCTGCTTTGTTTACCTAAGCAAGCCTGGGCAATGGCGGGTGCCCCTCCCCCAGCCTCGCTGCCGCCTTGCAGTTTGATCTCAGACTGCTGTGCTAGCAATCAGCGAGATTCACTGGGCGACTACTGGGTACATAACAAAATGAAAGCAGAAATAAAGATGTTCTTTGAAACCAACGAGAACAAAGACACAACATACCAGAATCTCTGGGACACATTCAAAGCAGTGTGTAGAGGGAAATTTATACCACTAAATGCCCACAAGAGAAAGCAGGAAAGATCCAAAATTGACACCCTAACATCACAATTAAAAGAACTAGAAAAGCAAGAGCAAACACATTCAAAAGCTAGCAGAAGGCAAGAAATAACTAAAATCAGAGCAGAACTGAAGGAAATAGAGACACAAAAAACCCTTCAAAAATTAATGAATCCAGGAGCTGGTTTTTTGAAAGGATCAACAAAATTGATAGACCGCTAGCAAGACTAATAAAGAAGAAATGAGAGAAGAATCAAATAGACGCAATAAAAAATGATAAAGGGGATATCACCACCAATCCCACAGAAATACAAACTACCATCAGAGAATACTACAAACACCTCTACGCAAATAAACTAGAAAATCTAGAAGAAATGGATAAATTCCTCGACACATACACCCTCCCAAGACTAAACCAGGAAGAAGTTGAATCTCTGAATAGACCAATAACAGGTTCTGAAATTGTGGCAATAATCAATAGCTTACCAACCAAAAAGAGTCCAGGACCAGATGGATTCACAGCCGAATTCTACCAGAGGTACAAGGAGGAACTGGTACCATTCCTTCTGAAACTATTCCAATCAATAGAAAAAGAAGGAATCCTCCCTAACTCATTTTATGAGGCCAGCATCATCCTGATACCAAAGCCGGGCAGAGACACAACCAAAATAGAGAATTTTAGACCAATATCCCTGATGAACATTGATGCAAAAATCCTCAATAAAATACTGGCAAACCGAATCCAGCAGCACATCAAAAAGCTTATCCACCATGATCAAGTGGGCTTCACCCCTGGGATGCAAGGCTGGTTCAATATATGCAAATCAATAAATATAATCCAGCATATAAACAGAACCAAAGACAAAAACCACATGATTATTTCAATAGATGCAGAAAAGGCCTTTGACAAAATTCAACAACACTTCATGCTAAAAACTCTCAATAAATTAGGTATTGATGGGACGTATCTCAAAATGATAAGAACTATCTATGACAAACCCACAGCCAATATCATACTGAATGGGCAAAAACTGGAAGCATTCCCTTTGAAAACTGGCACAAGACAGGGATGCCCTCTCTCACCACTCCTATTCAACATAGTGATGGAACTTCTGGCCAGGGCAATTAGGCAGGAGAAGGAAATAAAGGGTATTCAATTAGGAAAAGAGGAAGTCAAATTGTCCCTGTTTGCAGATGACATGATTGTATGTCTAGAAAACCCCATTGTCTCAGCCCAAAATCTCCTTAAGCTGATAAGCAACTTCAGCAAAGTCTCAGGGTACAAAATCAATGTACAAAAATCACAAGCATTCTTATATACCAGTAACAAAGCGCCAAATCATGAGTGAACTCCCATTCACAATTGCTTCAAAGAGAATAAAATACCTTGGAATCCAACTTATAAGGGACATGAAGGACCTCTTCAAGGAGAACTACAAACCACTGCTCAATGAAATAAAAGAGGATACAAACAAATGGAAGAACATCCCATGCTCATGGGTAGGAAGAATCAATATCGTGAAAATGGCCATACTGCCCAAGGTAATTTATAGATTCAATGCCATCCCCATCAAGCTACCAATGACTTTCTTCACAGAATTGGAAAAAACTACTTTAAATTTCATATGGAACCAAAAAAGAGCCCGCACCGCCAAGTCAATCCTAAGCCAAAAGAACAAAGCCAGAGGCATCATGCTACCTGACTTCAAACTATACTACAAGGCTACAGTAACCAAAACAGCATGGTGCTGGTACCAAAACAGAGATATAGATCAATGGAACAGAACAGAGCCCTCAGAAATAACACCACATATCTACAACTATCTGATCTTTGACAAACCTGACAAAAACAAGCAATGGGGAAAGGATTCCCTATTTAATAAATGGTGCTGGGAAAACTGGCTAGCCATATGTAGAAAGCTGAAACTGCATCCCTTCCTTACACCTTATACAACAATTAATTCAAGATGGATTAAAGACTTAAACGTTAGACCTAAAACCATAAAAACCCTAGAAGAAAACCTAGGCAATACCATTCAGGACATAGGCATGGGCAAGGACTTCATGTCTAAAACACCAAAAGCAATGGCAACAAAAGCCAAAATTGACAAATGGGATCTAATTAAACTAAAGAGCTTCTGCACAGCAAAAGAAACCACCATCAGCGTGAACAGGCAACCTACAAAATGGGAGAAAATTTTTGCAACCTACTCATCTGACACAGGGCTAATATCCAGAATCTACAATGAACTCAAACAAATTTACAAGAAAAAAACAAACAACCCCATCAACAAGTGGGCGAAGGATATGAACAGACACTTCTCAAAAGAAGACATTTATGCAGCCCAAAAACACATGAAAAATGCTCACCATCACTGGCCATCAGAGAAATGCAAATCAAAACACAATGAGATACCATCTCACACCAGTTAGAATGACAATCATTAAAAAGTCAGGAAACAATAGGTGTTGGAGAGGATGTGGAGAAATAGGAACACCTTTACACTGTTGGTGGGACTGTAAACTAGTTCAACCATTGTGGAAGTCAGTGTGGCGATTCCTCAGGGATCTAGAACTAGAAATACCATTTGGCCCAACCATCCCATTACGGCGTATATACCCAAAGGACTATAAATCATGCTGCTATAAAGACACATGCACACGTATGTTTATTGCGGCACTATTCACAATAGCAAAGACTGGGAACCAAACCAAATGTCCAACAATGATAGAAAGGATTAAGAAAATGTGGCACATATACACCATGGAATACTATGCAGCCATAAAAAATGATGAGTTCATGTCCTTTGTAGGGACATGGACGAAATTGGAAATCATCATTCTCAGTAAACTATCGCAAGAATAAAAAACCGAACACCGCATATTCTCACTCATAGGTGGGAATTGAACAATGAGAACACATGGACACAGGAAGGGGAACATCACACTCTGGGGACTATTGTGGGGTGGGGGGAGTGGGGGAGGGATAGCTTTAGGAGATATACCTAATGCTAAATGATGAATTAATGGGTGCAGAACACCAGCATGGCACATGTATACATATGTAACTAACCTGCACATTGTGCACATGTACCCTAAAACTTAAAGTATAATAATAATAAAATAAAAAGAAATAAGGATCCCAAGACATACTCAGTGGAGAATGGGATGAAGGTAGGAGGAATTTCAAGCTCACAAGGAAATAAGTACATAAAAGTTGTTATACAGTCAGTTTTTTCTGAGCCATTCTTAGCAGATTATTTTGTGGTATTTAAATATTTTTACAGACAAATAATTGGACTATATTCTCCTATCTGTTTCAGTAAAGTTTTAGGATAGATACAAAGAAAACTACAAAAGTTATCTACTTTACAGTATCCTGCCTTATGGAAGCATACTTCTGCCCTGAGTGTACAACATGTTGTAATAAAATAACACTTATGTTCTACATAATCATCTATTCATGAGCTTATTTCCCCTCTAGGTTGAGAGGTTTTTGATAACTGTATATTATGCATTTTCTATAGCCTGCATGTATAACATTGTAGTTAATGAATTAACACATTCGTTAATATAATTGACATAACATGAAAACTGTAGTTCTAATCTTTAAGTAGGGGAAGATTTCTTAAAATAACCATGTTGCTAATAATAAAGACAATTGGTAATTTTGTTTACATTAAAATTAAAATGTCTGTATATAGCAAAACATTTTTTAAAAGAGCAGAATGCTAAGCTATAAACTGGGAGAATATACTGCAATATACATAACCGACATTAGGGTAAGTATCAAAAACATAAACTTCTAGAAATAAAAAAGAAAAGAATTCAAAAGAAAAGTAGGCAAAAGACATGAACGGTATTTTACATGAGTAATTACATAAGACCAATAAATATGAGAAATGTTTGATTTCATTAGGGATGTGGGAAATGCAGTCAAGATCTGAATGAGATATCATCTACAACCATTCAATGGCAAAAATCAAGAAATCCAGTGTTTGAGAGAATGGGATCAATGAAATCTATTTCACATTGCTGATAGATGTGTAAATTACTGTTGGAAGACAGGTTTCTATTTTCTTGTAAGACTAGATATTCAAACACCTTTATTACATAGCAATTCCATTCCATTCCTAGGTGTGTGTACATGTGTATGTGTGTGTGAGTGTCCAAAAGCTACTCTTACATATCTGCAGAAAACATATATAAGAAATTTATAAGATCAATAGCTGGAAATATTACAAGGCTCTTTAATAATACAATGGATAAATTGTGATATATTTACACAATGGGATATCTTATAGCAGTTAAAACATATAAACTCTATATGCAATTATATGAATAAATCATAGCAATATATAATCAAGCAGAGAAGTAAATCTCAAAATATTACATAGCACATAATAGCTTTTTTTATAAATTTGGAATCAAAACTGAAGTATATGCTTTTTAATGAATATATAAAGAAATATGGGGCTGGAAGTCAGGAGGAGTGTGTAGGTGAGATAGGCATCTCAAAAGTACAACTCAGGATACATGGGGATCTCTAAAGCCTGTTAGAAGCATGCAATGCCTTGGATCAGCACAACCATATGCAAAATGATCTATCTATGAACATCCTGCCAATAATTGTGTGTCTACTATTCATAATCACCTGGAGTGAGAGCATAACAATCTCATCAGTTTCCCTCTCTGTGTGGACATGTGTCTCAACTAGCTGATGAGCATTTATGATATATACACACGGCAAACTTTTATGGGATTCTGCCACAGAAATGTTAGCCTGCAGAGTGGTAATGGTGTAATTAGCATTGCAAAAAGGCCCAGTCTGGAAACATGATTGTCAGAATGAAAATTTCACAAAGCAATATGGCCTCATGCTGTCTCTGTGATGAGTCAGTACTAGCCTTTTTGGAATTGAAAGGGATTTTGGTAAACTAAGAGGTAAGAACTACAAAGCAGATTGCTCTCAGATTGGAAAACAAAACAATCCCTGAGATATTAATTTTCCAAATAGTAGAACTGATCAGTGCTGAGTCATAGGTTCTTTTCCTTCCCTTTCTGGGCCCCCCTCCCCTCTGCCCCCAGCAGGAATAAATGTGTTCCTGAATTTGCTGTGACACCAGTCACAAACCGGAATAGTTGCAGTTGATATTCAGGAGAGTTTTATAAAAGATTGTGAAATAAGACAGACAAAACCAAGACAAAACTTCTATTAAGATGGGAGAATTATTCTAAGATCCTTTTACCAATATCTACATTTCAATTGCTTTTTGTAACAAAATAAGAAGCTGAAAATTCTTGTAAGTTATTTTCTACAAAAGGAAAAATTTTACATTGAAAATTTAATTTTTCCCCATGAATAAAATGAGGTTATCAATAAATGTGTCACACTGAATATTTTATTTCAGCTTGTTATATGTAAGGTGAAAGCATGCATATATTAAAACAGGTTGATGTAGCTAAAGGTCATTTGTTAAATTGCTCTTCTATAGCATGTATTTGAACGTTCCCAAACATGGCATATCATTTTTCTTACAAAGGCAAATGCCGCAGTCCATTTGTGCTGCTATTACAAAATAACATAGACTGGGTAATTGATAAAGAACCAAATTTTATTTTCTCACAGTTCCAGAAGCTGGGATGCCACCAGATTTGGTGCCTTGGGAGGGGCTGGTATTCCCTTCCAAAATATCATTTTGTTGTATCCTATAGAGGGAAGGAGCACTGTGTGAAGGAACCTGGCAGATGGGAGAGAAGGGAGAAAAGGGCAGGACACTATGTGGAGCTTTTTTGTTGTTGTTGATAACATCATAATTTAACATAATTATGGGGTACATATGATATTTTGATACATGCATACAATGTGTAATGATCAAATAATGGTAATTGAGATATCCACCACCTCAAATATTTATCATTTATTTATGTTGGAAATATTCCAAAACTTATTTTCTAGCTATTTCAAAATATACAATTAATTATTGTTAACTTTAGTCACACTACTGTGCTAATCAACACTAGAACTTGTTCATTGTATCTTTTTTCTTTTCTTTTCTTTTCTTTTTTTTTTTGAGACTGTCATCCAGGCAGAAGTACAGTAGCGCCATCATGGCCCACTGCAGCCTTGACCTCTGGGGCTCAAGTGATCCTCTTGTCTCAGCCTCCCAAGTAGCTGGGACTAGAAGTGTGCACCACCATGCCTCGCTAATTTTTTATTTTTTGTAGGGAGAGGGTCTCCCAGTGTTTCTTGGGCATGTCTCGATTCCCGGGCTCAAATGATCTTCTTGTCTTAGGCTCCCAAAGTGTTGGGATTACAGGTGTGAGCCAATGGAGTTGGCCATTGTTTCTTCTATATAACCTTATTTTTTTACCCATTAACCAACCTCTCTTCATCCTCCCCTCCCACCTACCCTTCCCAAATTTTGGTACCCACCATTCTACTCTCTATCTCCATGAGATCTACTATTTCAGCTCCCACACATGAGTGAGAATATGCAATATTTGTCTTTCTGTGCCTGTCTTATTTCACTTAACATAACGTCCTTCAGGCTTATTCATGTTGCTGCAAATGCCTCTTTCATAAGGACCTTGTATTAGAGTTCTCAAGAGGGACAGAACTAATAGGAGATATATATATATACATATATATATATATATGAATTTATTAAGGAGTATTAGCTCACATGATCACAAGGTCCACAATAGGCAGTCTGTGAGCTGAGGAGCAAGCAAGCCAGTTTGAGTCCCAAAGCGAAAGTCCAATGTTTGAGGGCAGGAAGCCTCCAGCATGAGAGAAAGATGTAGGCTGGGAGGCTAAGCCAGTCTAGTCTTTTCAAGTTCTTCTGCCTGCTTTTTATTCTGGCTGCACTGGCAGCTGATTAAATTGTGCTTACTTAGATTAAGGGTGAGTCTGCCTTTCCCAGCCCACTGACTCAAATGCTAATCTCCTTTGGCAATGCCCTTACAGTCACACCCAGGATCAAAACTTTGCATCCTTCAATCCAATCAAGTTGACAGCATTAACCATCATGGACCTTAATCCCATTAATAAGCGAGGAACCCTCATGACTCAACCACCTCTAAAAGGAACCATTTCTTAACACTATTGCATTGGTCATCAAGTTTCAACACAAGAATTTTGGAAAGGACTCATTCAAACCATAGCAAAAGGTGAACATATTTTACATTATGTGTGGTGAGACCTGACATCTTTACTTTTCTTCTCAACAACTAGAAATCTGATGAAAATGAGAAAGTTTTAAAGAGATCAGAGTAGTTTGTTGGTAGATTCTTGGTTCAATAACCTAAGTAGGTCATTTTCTTCAGTAACCAAAATAGTTTACTTCATAGCGGTAATTCTTCCATTCATCAATGTAAATTCTAGGTAGTTTTCCAAAGGTGAATATGAAAATAAGAGCTTTTAGAAACTGAAAACTTTGCAAATGTTTATTGATTAAGTTGGTCAAATTTACATTGTGGTCTAGGTCATCAGCCAAGTAGATAACACACATAGAAAAGTTCTATTAACAATCATAACAAAATAATGATTAATAGATTTCCCATATCCAAGTTACTTTGATCTTTACTAAGTGTCTACCCTCTAGTAAAGCACCAGTCATTGTTTCCTGGTTTGATTACTCATAATAGTCAGGAAACAAGAAGGACCCACCTTCTATCTCATAAAATGCATCATTTTGCTATGTACAGCACCAATAGGAAAACAAGTTCAGATGTAACATGTTATGAACCCTGCATTCTTTTATTAGAATTGGCTAATTACCCAAGTTCTAGATGGTAAATGACATAATGTTCTTATTTAAAAGCAGGTTCCTCACGTAAGATGCAGAACTGCTTTTAGAGTGCCATAAAATTTGATTTATGCCACTGCTTGCCAAACATTAAATTTCAGTATTTAAATAGAAAACAAGGATGAACATCTCCTCCAGCCTAAGTATTGTTTTACATTGCATTGAATGTTTCTGAAAGAATCACATGTTCCTAGGGGATAAAGGTATTTCCTAACCTCTTTGTATATGTTTTTAAAAATGTAAAAGCATAATAACTTCAAAAAAGTTATAAATGAATAAATATGTGGATGATGTCAATGTTACCTTACTTGACTATAGTAATCATTTTACTATCTATCTATCTATATATATCAAAATATCTTGTTGTACACCTTAAATGCATACAATAAAAATTGTTAAAGGTGTAATCAACAAAGTATTAGGATGGCTGTTACCTTAAGTGGGAAGAGATAAGGAGATGAGATAGGAGGATTTCATAGCATGTTTTTGTCAATATTCTAGTTTCCGTATGGGACTTTGGTGCATGGGTAGGAAAAAAAATTTCTATCTTAATACCTAAAAGACTTATCTAAAATCAAACTAAAATCAGTAAGAATATGAATACAGAAAGTAATGGCACCTGTAAATGTTTTTTCAATTTGAAGAAACTGCTTTTGAATCATATACAAATATCAACAAAAAATATATTTTTTGATTTTTCTAATGTAATTTATTTTTTCAAAGAAGGGCAAACTACGTAAGAAACAAAAAATAAAAATGTTCAGTATAAATAATTGATTAAAGAAAAGTAACTTCATAGAAATAAACATAAATGGTTTGAATAATGGTTTTATCATTTGTAGGGTAAAATAAATCATTTTAGAAATACATTTTTTCAATTGTGAACCTCATTTTTAATGCAACCTATAAGAACCAGGTGAAGAAATACTTGTGTGACTCTCTTCTCTGCCTGAAGCTCACTCACTTCCAGCCACAAACCTTAACTTCACAATTGTTTTCACTACATAAGGAACCTAAAGTATATCAGCCAATGGTCTGCTCCTTAATTATAAGCTTTCTTTAAATAAAATTATAGAAGTTTTCATTAACAGATATGTAAGCACATAAAATAAATATTAAGTATCTACTGATGATCGGGGTAGAACAGAGCTTATTGATTTCCCCACTGCTTCCTCCCAAGTCCTCTAATATATGCCATGTCCAACTTCCAAGTACCACACCAGCAGCTCTTCTTCTGTACAGCAACTCAGCTGGACAACGAACACCTGACATTCAAACACCTTAGGCATATGAATGTCTGACTGGTCCCATGCTGAGGTCACAGATACTTCTCCACAAATCCTCATTAGCAAGAAATTTGACCTGTGTTAATAGCCATTGCATTCATGGAAGGAAATTAAGATATATTTCTCCTTTGGAGTTTTAGGCTGAAACCAGGGAATCATCTTGTAGTAACAACATGGCCTCCAGGAATCCATAGATGTCTATTTGACTCACTATATTCCTGAAATGTAACTCTAAAATCTGTCTTATTGACAGAGTTAAATGATAAGATTAATTTTTATGCTGGGGACAGCTATGCAGCTTAACTCCTAAGTCAAGTTACCAAGAGACATTTTTCCCTGGTCTTCCAGGGAAATATCTTTCCCAGATATTTTGCATTCATTTTCTCTAAAGTTCAAGACAACCCTATATAGCAGTTACGAAGTTCTACATTTCACAGATGAGAAAACTGAGTTGTCAAAGTTCACAGGACTAGTAAATGCTGGGCCTGGCATATGAATTGACATCTGTCTCAATCTGAAGGCTGCATTCCTTTAATTTTAGATGAACAATTTTAAACTTACCAGCAAACTGGATAATTTTAAAAACCACAAGTTCATTGCAACCGAACAGGCATAATAGAGGAGGTAGATTAATTCAAAACCCAGTTTACACTGCCTTTCACGAACATTTGGAAACTATAAAAAGTCTAATCAAGCCCCTCTTCATCCACATTTGTTTATTATAACAATGTTGTATTACAAACAAAATCCTCTGCCAAAACTGCTTTAAATGCCTGATAGGTTTGTTTATTTTCACCATATTTCTACTT
The DNA here is from genome assembly GCF_000001405.40 of Homo sapiens. Taxonomy (NCBI): domain Eukaryota; kingdom Metazoa; phylum Chordata; class Mammalia; order Primates; family Hominidae; genus Homo; species Homo sapiens. Next base: position 19,174,441 of record NC_000002.12, read on the forward strand.
TTTCCCAGAGTACAGACCAGCTCATTTCACCCCACAGTGTGTTACATTTTTCTGTGCAGGGGTCTGGAGGTGGAAGTGGGTACACAAACTTCTTATTCTGGTCTTTTTGGTTTATAAAAGGTTGCCCAGTGAGGGCCCATAAAGGTTTTTGTGAAGGGCCTACTATTGGAAATATTATCATTTATAGTTTTTGTAAAGGTTTATTCTTAACATCAAAATTATAATTTGAATCTAATGTCTTCAACTTTAAGAAGACATGATCTACAATTTAACATAGCTTCAGGAAATTAAGAACTGTTATCTTTAGGAATATTAAAATAAGCCACGAATATCAGATGTGGATTAAGTGGATAAAGAAGTGAAGTGACTCTCTATGAATGCACAAATCCTTGAAGGACTCATCTCCAGTAAGCAAGGTAGCACTTATCAGAAGTGGGCTAGGAAAAGAAATCTCTAAGATGAAACAAACAAACAAAAAGTTTGCTGGTAAGATATAGGGTTATAATTTAAGACTAAAGTGTTAGAAATCTAAGGACCCCAGAATGGCCATTATAATGAAGCAGCCCAGTGAAGAGCATTAGAGGGCAGAGCATTAGAGGACAGTGCATATGAGTCACTTGGGGGTCATGTTAAATTTCACTTCTGATCATCTGTGAGTTCCTCAGTAAAGCCTGCAACTCCCAGGTGACCCAAGGTTGCTAGTCCTCAGATCATACTTGAAGTACCAAGGTTACGGGTTATTTGATTATGTATCAGTGTTACTTAAACTCTGTGGTAGAAAAAAGACTATAGTTAGGAAAAAGTGGCCATGCCAAATTAAACTAGGGCAGAAATTACAGGGTGGTAGAGTCTGGATGTGTACCTGCCAGGACATCATGGGAAGAGCCTGGCCTTAGAGTCCCCAGTGGGCTCCTGACTTGCAATAGACCTTGGATAGGTCTCCTCCAGGGTTAACATTATGAATTCAGTAACCTACTCTGTTCTCATATGGCCAAAGAGACAAATACTGGCACATGTTGGAGAATCGCAATTTCTGCAATAATTTATTAATTTATTTAGGAATCATGTCTGCTTGCCATACCTGCACGCTATGACTCTCTACCTCCCCAATCACTTTTCTCACTGCTTCTGGAAATGCTTCAATATGGAACAGAAACTCTTGAATCCAAATCTGTAAATAGCTTTAAATGACAGAAAGCACAAACAATAATCTTCCGATTAGAACTAGTTTGTAAACCCATGCATCCCTTCTCTCAGGAGAGCATGCGTTGCTCAGGCCTCTCTGTTCTTTCTAACATCTGTAGGTTCTCCATTATGCACACTGAACTGTAAAAAGGCTGGAAATTCATTTCTGCTCCGTGGTTATATTACCTCTCTACTCATCATATGTAGAGCCTGATGGTGAATATGCCATTGGAAACTCTCCATACAGGCTTTGAAATCATACAAGCAGCACAGATATTGATGATGCTAATGAGAAGAGCATCTGTCTCTTCCTGTTAGCAATTACACCTAGTTGTCCCTTTGCCACCCACAATTCTTTCTCATGCAGCTTTTCAAAGAATCCTCTGCTTCTCCATCTCTCAATAGCCCTCAACAATATGGCCTTATATACAAGTCTGATAGAATGCAGTATCAAAGTACAGAGCTACTTTAAAACATATCCCTACATAAAATACGAAATATAGAATGGTTCACTCTAGTAACATGTTTGTAAAGAAAATAAGTTGAGCTGGTTGGTAATTCTTTCAAATATCCAAACTCTCCATCTATCATGCCCACACATCCACCCACCCTCCCATAAACACCAAATGATTATTAGTCATGGACTGCAGGAAAAACAAGGGCATGGAAGACAGATGCTGTCCTTAAGATATTGTTAGTCTCTGAAGTAATATCAAATTTTCCATTTGAACACTCACTAATTTACTAAATCCTCAGTGAGCACCAATGATATGCCAGACGCTGTGCTAAGTGCTAAG